>NC_000012.12:36966843-37185252 GCF_000001405.40 Homo sapiens | reverse complement strand
TCTGTCTAGTTTTTATACGAAGATGTTTCCTTTTCTACATTTGGTCTCAAAGCGATTGAAATCTCCAACTGGAAACTGCACAAATAGGGTGTTTCAAATCTGCTCTGTCTAAAGGAAGGTTCAACTCTGTGAGTTGAATACACACACCACAAATAAGTTACTGAGAATTCTTCTGTCGAACATTACAGGAAGAAATCCCGTTTCCAACGAAGGCCTCAAAGAGGTCCAAATATCCACTTGCAGACATTACAAACGGAGTGTTTCCAAACTGCTCCATCAACAGAAAGGTTCAACTCGGTGAGCTGAACACACACATCAAAAAGAAGTTTCTGTGAATGATTCTGTCTAGATTTTATAAGAAGATGTTTCCTTTTCTACCGTAGGCCTCAAAGCGCTTGAAATCTCCAGCTGCAAATTCCACAAAAAGGGTGTTTAACATCTGCTCTTCTAAAGGAAAGTTCAACTCTATGAGTTGAATACACACAGCACAAAGAAGTTACTGAGACTTCTCCTATCAAACATTATATGAAGAAATCCCGTTTCCAACGAAGGCCTCAAAGAGGTCCAAATATCTGCTTGCAGACTTTACAGACAGAGTGTTTCCAAACTGCTCCATCAAAAGAAAGGTTAAACTCCTTGAGTTGAACACACACATCACAAAGTAGTTTCTGTGAATGATTCTGTCTAGTTGTTATACGAAGATGTTTCCTTTTCTACCTTTGGTCTCAAAGCGATTGAAATCTCCACATGGAAACTCCACAAAAAGAGTGTTTCAAATCTGCTCTTTCTGAAGGAAGGTTCATCTCTGTGAGTTGAATACACACACCACAAATAAGTTACTGAGAATTCTTTCTGTGTAACATTATATGAGGAAATCCCGTTTCCAACGAAGGCCTCAAAGAGGTCCAAATATCCACTTGCAGATTTTACAAAGACAGTGTCTCCAAACTCCTCCATCAAAAGAAAGGTTATACTCTGTCAATTGAACGCACACATCACAAAGTAGTTTCTGAGAATGATTCTGTCTAGTTTTTATACGAAGATATTTCCTTTTCTACATTTGGCCTAAAAGCGCTTGAAATCTCCACCTGCAAATATCACAAAAAGAGGGTTTCACATCTGCTCTGTCTAAAGACAGTTCATCTCTGTGAGCTGAATAGAGGCAACACAAAGAAGTTACTGAGTATTCTTCTTTCTAGCGTTGTATGAAGAAATCCCGTTTCCAACGAAGGCCACAAAGAGGTCCAAATATCTGCTTGCAGGCTTTACAGACAGAGTGTTTCCAAACTGCTCCATCAAAAGAAAGGTTAACCTCCTTGAGTTGAACACACACTTCACAAAGTAGTTTCTGTGAATGATTCTGTCTAGTTTTTATACGAAGATGTTTCCTTTTCTACCTTTGGTCTCAAAGCGATTGAAATCTCCACATGGAAACTCCACAAAAAGAGTGTTTCAAATCTGCTCTTTCTGAAGGAAGGTTCAACTCTGTGAGTTGAATACACACACCACAAATAAGTTACTGAGAATTCTTCTGTGTAACATTATATGAGGAAATCCCGTTTCCAACGAAGGCCTCAAAGAGGTCCAAATATCCACTTGCAGACTTTACAAAGACAGTGTCTCCAAACTCCTCCATCAAAAGAAAGGTTATACTCTGTGAATTGAACGCACACATCACAAAGTAGTTTCTGAGAATGATTCTGTCTAGTTTTTATACGAAGATATTTCCTTTTCTACATTTCGCCTAAAAGCGCTTGAAATCTCCACCTGCAAATATCACAAAAAGAGGGTTTCACATCTGCTCTGTCTAAAGGACAGTTCACCTCTGTGAGTTAAATAGAGGCAACACAAAGAACTTACTCAGTATTCTTCTTTCTAGCGTTCTATGAAGAAATCCCGTTTCCAACGAAGGCCTCAAAGAGGTCCAAATATCTGCTTGCAGACTTTACAGACAGAGTGTTTCCAAACTACTCTATGAAAAGAAAGCTTAAACTCCTTGAGTTGAACGCACACATCACAAAGTAGTTTCTGAGAATGATTCTGTCTAGTTTTTATACGAAGATATTTCCTTTTCTTCATTTGTCTCAAAGCGATTGAAATCTCCAACTGGACACTGCACAAATAGGGTGTTTCAAATCTGCTCTGTCTAAAGAGAGGTTCAACTCTGTGAGTTCAATACACACACCACAAATAAGTTACTGAGAATTCTTCTGTGTAACATTATATGAGGAAATCCCGTTTCCAACGAAGGCCTCAAAGAGGTCCAAATATCCACTTGCGGACATTACAAACAGTGTGTTTCCCAACTGCTCCATCAAAAGAAAGGTTAAACTCTGTGAGCTGAACACACACATCAAAAAGAAGTTTCTGTGAATGATTCTGTCTAGATTTTATAAGAAGATGTTTCCTTTTCTACCGTAGGCCTCAAAGCGCTTGAAATCTCCAGCTGCAAATTCCACAAAAAGGGTGTTTAACATCTGCTCTTCTAAAGGAAAGTTCAACTCTATGAGTTGAATACACACAGGACAAAGAAGTTACTGAGACTTCTCCTATCAAACATTATATGAAGAAATCCCGTTTCCAACGAAGGCCTCAAAGAGGTCCAAATATCTGCTTGCAGACTTTACAGACAGAGTGTTTCCAAACTAGTCTATGAAAAGAAAGCTTAAACTCCTTGATTTGAACGCACACATCACAAAGTAGTTTCTGAGAATGATTCTGTCCAGTTTTTATACGAAGATGTTTCCTTTTCTACCTTTGGTCTCAAAGCGATTGAAATCTCCACATGGAAACTCCACAAAAAGAGTGTTTCAAATCTGCTCTTTCTGAAGGAAGGTTCAACTCTGTGAGTTGAATACACACACCACAAATAAGTTACTGAGAATTCTTCTGTCGAACATTACTTGAAGAAATCCCGTTTCCAACGAAGGCCTCAAAAAGGTCCAAATATCCACTTGCAGACTTTACAAAGACAGTGTCTCCAAACTCCTCCATCAAAAGAAAGGTTATACTCTGTGAATTGAACGCACACATCACAAAGTAGTTTCTGAGAATGATTCTGTCTAGTTTTTATACGAAGATATTTCCTTTTCTACATTTGGCCTAAAAGCGCTTGAAATCTCCACCTGCAAATATCACAAAAAGAGGGTTTCACATCTGCTCTGTCTAAAGGACAGTTCACCTCTGTGAGTTGAATAGAGGCAACACAAAGAACGTACTCAGTATTCTTCTTTCTAGCGTTCTATGAAGAAATCCCGTTTCCAACGAAGGCCTCAAAGAGGTCAAATATCTGCTTGCAGACTTTACAGACAGAGTGTTTCCAAACTACTCTATGAAAAGAAAGCTTAAACTCCTTGAGTTGAACGCACACATCACAAAGTAGTTTCTGAGAATGATTCTGTCTAGTTTTTATACGAAGATGTTTCCTTTTCTACATTTGGTCTCAAAGCGATTGAAATCTCCAACTGGAAACTGCACAAATAGGCTGTTTCAAATCTGCTCTGTCTAAAGGAAGGTTCAACTCTGTGAGTTGAATACACACACCACAAATAAGTTACTGAGAATTCTTCTGTCGAACATTACATGAAGAAATCCCGTTTCCAACGAAGGCCTCAAAGACGTCCAAATATCCACTTGCAGACATTACAAACAGAGTGTTTCCAAACTGCTCCATCAAAAGAAAGGTTAAACTCTGTGAGCTGAACACACACATCAAAAAGAAGTTTCTGTGAATGATTCTGTCTAGATTTTATAAGAAGATGTTTCCTTTTCTACCGTAGGCCTCAAAGCGCTTGAAATCTCCAGCTGCAAATTCCACAAAAAGGGTGTTTAACATCTGCTCTTCTAAAGGAAAGTTCAACTCTATGAGTTGAATACACACAGCACAAAGAAGTTACTGAGACTTCTCCTATCAAACATTATATGAAGAAATCCCGTTTCCAATGAAGGCCTCAAAGAGGTCCAAATATCCACTTGCAGACGTGAAAAACAGAGTGTTTCCAAACTGCTCCATCAAAAGAAAGGTTAAACTCTGTGAGTTGAACACACACATCTCAAAGTAGTTTCTGTGAATGATTCTGTCTAGTTTTTATACGAAGATGTTTCCTTTTCTACCTTTGGTCTCAAAGCGACTGAAATCTCCACATGGAAACTCCACAAAAAGAGTGTTTCAAATCTGCTCTTTCTGAAGGAAGGTTCAATTCTGTGAGTTGAATACACACACCACAAATAAGTTACTGAGAATTCTTCTGTGTAACATTATATGAGGAAATCCCGTTTCCAACGAAGGCCTCAAAGAGGTCCATATATCCACTTGCAGACTTTACAAAGACAGGGTCTCCAAACTCCTCCATCAAAAGAAAGGTTATACTACTGTGAATTGAACGCACACATCACAAAGTAGTTTCTGAGAATGATTCTGTCTAGTTTTTATACGAAGATATTTCCTTTTCTACATTTGGCCTATAAGCGCTTGAAATCTCCACCTGCAAATATCACAAAAAGAGGGTTTCACATCTGCTCTGTCTGAAGGACAGTTCACCTCTAGGAGTTGAATAGAGGCAACACAAAGATCTTACTCAGTATTCTTCTTTCTAGCGTTCTATGAAGAAATCCCGTTTCCAACGAAGGCCCCAAAGAGGTCCAAATATCTGCTTGCAGACTTTACAGACAGAGTGTTTCCAAACTACTCTATGAAAAGAAAGCTTAAACTCCTTGAGTTGAACGCACACATCACAAAGTAGTTTCTGAGAATGATTCTGTCTAGTTTTTATACGAAGATGTTTCCTTTTCTACTTTTGGTCTCAAAGCGATTGAAATCTCCAACTGGAAACTGCACAAATAGGGTGTTTCAAATCTGCTCTGTCTAAAGGAAGGTTCAACTCTGTGAGTTGAATACACACACCACAAATAAGTTACAGAGAATTCTTCTGTCGAACATTACTTGAAGAAATACCGTTTCCAACGAAGGCCTCAAAGAGGTCCAAATATCCACTTGCAGACATTACAAACAGAGTGTTTCCAAACTGCTCCATCAAAAGAAAGGTTAAACTCTGTGAGCTGAACACACACATCAAAAAGAAGTTTCTGTGAATGATTCTGTCTAGATTTTATAAGAAGATGTTTCCTTTTCTACCGTAGGCCTCAAAGCGCTTGAAATCTCCAGCTGCAAATTCCACAAAAAGGCTGTTTAACATCTGCTCTTCTAAAGGAAAGTTCAACTCTATGAGTTGAATACACACAGCATAAAGAAGTTACTGAGACTTCTCCTATCAAACATTATATGAAGAAATCTCGTTTCCAACGAAGGCCTCAAAGAGGTCCAAATATCTGCTTGCAGACTTTACAGACAGAGTGTTTTTAAACTGCTCCATCAAAAGAAAGGTTAAACTCCTTGAGTTGAACGCACACATCACAAAGTAGTTTCTGTGAATGATTCTGTCTAGTTGTTATACGAAGATGTTTCCTTTTCTACCTTTGGTCTCAAAGCGATTGAAATCTCCACATGGAAACTCCACAAAAAGAGTGTTTCAAATCTGCTCTTTCTGAAGGAAGGTTCATCTCTGTGAGTTGAATACACACACCACAAATAAGTTACTGAGAATTCTTCTGTGTAACATTATATGAGGAAATCCCGTTTCCAACGAAGGCCTCAAAGAGGTCCAAATATCCACTTGCAGACTTTAAAAAGACAGTGTCTCCAAACTCCTCCATCAAAGAAAGGTTATACTCTGTGAATTGAACGCACACATCACAAAGTAGTTTCTGAGAATGATTCTGTCTAGTTTTTATACGAAGATATTTCCTTTTCTACATTTGGCCTAAAAGCGCTTGAAATCTCCACCTGCAAATATCACAAAAAGAGGGTTTCACATCTGCTCTGTCTAAAGACAGTTCATCTCTGTGAGCTGAATAGAGGCAACACAAAGAAGTTACTGAGTATTCTTCTTTCTAGCGTTATATGAAGAAATCCCGTTTCCAACGAAGGCCTCAAAGAGGTCCAAATATCTGCTTGCAGACTTTACAGACAGAGTGTTTCCAAACTACTCTATGAAAAGAAAGCTTAAACTCCTTGAGTTGAACGCACACATCACAAAGTAGTTTCTGAGAATGATTCTGTCAAGTTTTTATACGAAGATGTTTCCTTTTCTACATTTGGTCTCAAAGCGATTGAAATCTCCAACTGGAAACTGCACAAATAGGGTGTTTCAAATCTGCTCTGTCTAAAGGAAGTTTCAACTCTGTGAGTTGAACACACACACCACAAATAACTTACTGAGAATTCTTCTGTCGAACATTACATGAAGAAATCCCGTTCCCAACGAAGGCCTCAAAGAGGTCCAAATATCCACTTGCAGACATTACAAACAGAGTGTTTCCAAACTGCTCCATCAAAAGAAAGGTTAAACTCTGTGAGCTGAACACACACATCAAGAAGAAGTTTCTGTGAATGATTCTGTCTAGATTTTATAAGAAGATGTTTCCTTTTCTAACGTAGGCCTCAAAGCGCTTGAAATCTCCAGCTGCAAATTCCACAAAAAGGGTGTTTAACATCTGCTCTTCTAAAGGAAAGTTCAACTCTATGAGTTGAATACACACAGCACAAAGAAGTTACTGAGACTTCTCCTATCAAAGATTATATGAAGAAATCCCGTTTGCAACGAAGGCCTCAAAGAGGTCCAAATATCTGCTTGCAGACTTTACAGACGGAGTGTTTCCAAACTGCTCCATCAAAAGAAAGGTTAAACTCCTTGAGTTGAACACACACATCACAAAGTAGTTTCTGTGAATGATTCTGTCTAGTTGTTATACGAAGATGTTTCCTTTTCTACCTTTGGTCTCAAAGCGATTGAAATCTCCACATGGAAACTCCACAAAAAGAGTGTTTGAAATCTGCTCTTTCTGAAGGAAGGTTCATCTCTGTGAGTTGAATACACACACCACAAATAAGTTACTGAGAATTCTTCTGTGTAACATTATATGAGGAAATCCCGTTTCCAACGAAGGCCTCAAAGAGGTCCAAATATCCACTTGCAGACTTTACAAAGACAGTGTCTCCAAACTCCTCCATCAAAAGAAAGGTTATACTCTGTGAATTGAACGCACACATCACAAAGTAGTTTCTGAGAATGATTCTGTCTAGTTTTTATACGAAGATATTTCCTTTTCTACATTTGGCCTAAAAGCACTTGAAATCTCCACCTACAGATGTCACAAAAAGAGGGTTTCACATCTGCTCTGTCTAAAGGACAGTTCAACTCTGTGAGTTGAATAGAGGCAACACAAAGAAGTTACTGAGTATTCTTCTTTCTAGCGTTATATGAAGAAATCCCGTTTCCAACGAAGGCCTCAAAGAGGTCCAAATATCTGCTTGTAGACTTACAGACAGAGTGTTTCCAAACTACTCTATGAAAAGAAAGCTTAAACTCCGTGACTTGAACGCGCACATCACAAAGTAGTTTCTGAGAATGATTCTGTCTTGTTTTTATACGAAGATATTTCCGTTTCTACGATTGGCCTCAAAGCGATTGAAATCTCCAACTGGAAACTGCACAAACAGAGTGTTTCAAATGTGCTCTGTCTAAAGGAAGTTTCAACTCTGTGAGTTGAATACACACCCCACAAATAAGTTACTGAGAATTCTTCTGTCGAACATTACAGGAAGAAATCCCGTTTCCAACGAAGGCCTCAAAGAGCTCCAAATATCCACTTGCAGACATTACAAACAGTGTGTTTCCCAACTGCTCCATCAAAAGAAAGGTTAAACTCTGTGAGCTGAACACACACATCAAAAAGAAGTTTCTGTGAATGATTCTGTCTAGCATTTTCTAAGAAGATGTTTCCTTTTCTACCGTAGGCCTCAAAGCGCTTGAAATCTCCAGCTGCAAATTCCACAAAAAGGGTGTTTAACATCTGCTCTTCTAAAGGAAAGTTCAACTCTATGAGTTGAATACACACAACACAAAGAAGTTACTGAGACTTCTCCTTTCAAACATTATATGAAGAAATCCCGTTTCCAACGAAGGCCTCAAAGAGGTCCAAATATCCACTTGCAGACGTGACAAACAGAGTGTTTCCAAACTGCTCCATCCAAAGAAAGGTTAAACTCTGTGAGTTGAACACACACATCACAAAATAGTTTCTGTGAATGATTCTGTCTAGTTTTCATACGAAGATGTTTCGTTTTCTACCTTTGGTCTCAAAGCCATTGAAATCTCCACATGGAAACTCCACAAAAAGAGGGTTTCAAATCTGCTCTTTCTGAAGGAAGGTTCAACTCTGTGAGTTGAATACACACACCACAAATAAGTTACTGAGAATTCTTCTGTGTAACATTATAGGAGGAAATCCCGTTTCCAACGAAGGCCTCAAAGAGGTCCAAATATCCACTTGCAGACTTTACAAAGACAGTGTCTCCAAACTCCTCCATCAAAAGAAAGGTTATCCTCTGTGAATTGAACGCACACATCACAAAGTAGTTTCTGAGAATGATTCTGTCTAGTTTTTATACGAAGATATTTCCTTTTCTACATTTGGCCTAAAAGCGCTTGAAATCTCCACCTGCAAATATCACAAAAAGAGGGTTTCACATCTGCTCTGTCTAAAAGACAGTTCACCTCTGTGAGTTGAATAGAGGCAGCACAAAGAAGTTACTGAGTATTCTTCTTTCTAGCGTTACATGAAGAAATCCCGTTTCCAATGAAGGCCTCAAAGAGGTCCAAATATCTGCTTGCAGACTTTACAGACAGAGTGTTTCCAAACTACTCTATGAAAAGAAAGCTTAAACTCCTTGAGTTGAACGCACACATCACAAAGTAGTTTCTGAGAATGATTCTGTCTTGTATTTATACGAAGATATTTCCGTTTCTACGATTGGCCTCAAAGCGATTGAAATCTCCCACTGGAAACTGCACAAATAGGGTGTTTCAAATCTGCTCTGTCTAAAGGAAGGTTCAACTCTGTGAGTTGAATACACACACCACAAATAAGTTACTGAGAATTCTTCTCTCGAACATTACATGAAGAAATCCCGTTTCCAACGAAGGCCTCAAAGAGGTCCAAATATCCACTTGCCGACATGGCAAACACAGTTTTTCCAAACTGCTCCGTGAAAAGAAAGGTTAAACTCTGTGAGATGAACACACACATCAAAAAGAAGTTTCTGTGAATGATTCTGTCTAGATTTTATAAGAAGATGTTTCCTTTTCTACCATAGGCCTCAAAGCGCTAGGAATCTCTAGCTGCAAATTCCACAAAAAGTGTGTTTAACATCCGCTCTGTCTAAGGTAATGTTCAGCTCTGTAAGTTGAATACACACAGCACAAAGAAGTTACGGAGACTTCTTCTTTCTAGCATTCTATGAAGAAATCCCGTTTCCAACGAAGGCCCCAAAGAGGTCCAAATATCTGCTTGCAGACTTTACAGACAGAGTTTTTCCAAACTGTTCCATCAAAAGAAAGGTTAAACTCCTTGAGTTGAACACACACATCACAAAGTAGTTTCTGTGAATGATTCTGTCTAGTTGTTATACGAAGATGTTTCCTTTTCTACCTTTGGTCTCAAAGAGATTGAAATCTCCACATGGAAACTCCACAAAAAGAGTGTTTCAAATCTGCTCTTTCTGAAGGAAGGTTCATCTCTGTGAGTTGAATACACACACCACAAATAAGTTACTGAGAATTCTTCTGTGTAACATTATATGAGGAAATCCCGTTTCCAACGAAGGCCTCAAAGAGGTCCAAATATCCACTTGCAGACTTTACAAAGACAGTGTCTCCAAACTCCTCCATCAAAAGAAAGGTTATACTCTGTGAATTGAACGCACACATCACAAAGTAGTTTCTGAGAATGATTCTGTCTAGTTTTTATACGAAGATATTTCCTTTTCTACATTTGGCCTAAAAGCGCTTGAAATCTCCACCTGCAAATATCACAAAAAGAGGGTTTCACATCTGCTCTGTCTAAAGGACAGTTCACCTCTGTGAGTTGAATAGAGGCAACACAAAGAACTTACTCAGTATTCTTCTTTCTAGCGTTCTATGAAGAAATCCCGTTTCCAACGAAGACCCCAAAGAGGTCCAAATATCTGCTTGCAGACTTTACAGACAGAGTGTTTCCAAACTACTGTATGAAGAGAAAGCTTAAACTCCTTGAGTTGAAGGCACACATCACAAAGTAGTTTCTGATAATGATTTCTGTCTAGTTTTTATACGAAGATGTTTCCTTTTCTACATTTGGTCTCAAAGCGATTGAAATCTCCAACTGGAAACTGCACAAATAGGGTGTTTCAAATCTGCTCTGTCTAAAGGAAGGTTCAACTCTGTGAGTTGAATACACACACCACAAAGAAGTTACTGAGAATTCTTCTGTCGAACATTACATGAAGAAATCCCGTTTCCAACGAAGGCCTCAAAGAGGTCCAAATATCCACTTGCAGACATTACAAACAGAGTGTTTCCAAACTGCTCCATCAAAAGAAAGGTTAAACTCTGTGAGCTGAACACACACATCAAAAAGAAGTTTCTGTGAATGATTCTGTCTAGATTTTATAAGAAGATGTTTCCTTTTCTACCGTAGGCCTCAATGCGCTTGAAATCTCCAGCTGCAAATTCCACAAAAAGGGTGTTTAACGTCTGCTCTTCTAAAGGAAAGTTCAACTCTATGAGTTGAATACACACAGCACAAAGAAGTTACTGAGACTTCTCCTATCAAACATTATATGAAGAAATCCCGTTTCCAACGAGGGCCTCAAAGAGGTCCAAATATCTGCTTGCAGACTTTACAGACAGAGTGTTTCCAAACTGCTCCATCAAAAGAAAGGTTAAACTCGTTGAGTTGAACACACACATCACAAAGTAGTTTCTGTGAATGATTCTGTCTAGTTTTTATACGAAGATGTTTCCTTTTCTACCTTTGGTCTCAATGCGATTGAAATCTCCACATGGAAACTCCACAAAAAGAGTGTTTCAAATCTGCTCTTTCTGAAGGAAGGTTCAACTCTGTGAGTTGAATACACACACCACAAATAAGTTACTGAGAATTCTTCTGTGTAACATTATATGAGGAAATCCCGTTTCCAACGAAGGCCTCAAAGAGGTCCAAATATCCACTTGCAGACTTTACAAAGACAGTGTCTCCAAACTCCTCCATCAAAAGAAAGGTTATACTCTGTGAATTGAACGCACACATCACAAAGTAGTTTCTGAGAATGATTCTGTCTAGTTTTTATACGAAGATATTTCCTTTTCTACATTTGGCCTAAAAGCGCTTGAAATCTCCACCTGCAAATATCACAAAAAGAGGGTTTCACATCTGCTCTGTCTAAAGGACAGTTCACCTCTGTGAGTTGAATAGAGGCAACACAAAGAACTTACTCAGTATTCTTCTTTCTGGCGTTCT
The DNA here is from genome assembly GCF_000001405.40 of Homo sapiens. Taxonomy (NCBI): domain Eukaryota; kingdom Metazoa; phylum Chordata; class Mammalia; order Primates; family Hominidae; genus Homo; species Homo sapiens. Next base: position 37,173,855 of record NC_000012.12, on the reverse strand, counting down.
ATGAAGAAATCCCGTTTCCAACGAAGGCCCCAAAGAGGTCCAAATATCTGCCTGCAGACTTTACAGACAGAATGTTTCCAAACTACTCTATGAAAAGAAAGCTTAAACTCCTTGAGTTGAACGCACACATCACAAAGTAGTTTCTGAGAATGATTCTGTCTTGTTTTTATACGAAGATGTTTCCTTTTCTACATTTGGTCTCAAAGCGATTGAAATCTCCAACTAGATACTGCACAAATAGGGTGTTTCAAATCTGCTCTGTCTAAAGGAAGGTTCAACTCTGTGAGTTGAATACACACACCACAAATAAGTTACTGAGAATTCTTCTGTCGAACATTACATGAAGAAATCCCGTTTCCAAAGAAGGCCTCAAAGAGGTCCAAATATCCACTTGCAGACATTACAAACAGAGTGTTTCCAAACTGCTCCATCAAAAGAAAGGTTAAACTCTGTGAGCTGAACACACACATCAAAAAGAAGTTTCTGTGAATGATTCTGTCTAGATTTTATAAGAAGATGTTTCCTTTTCTACCGTAGGCCTCAAAGCGCTTGAAATCTCCAGCTGCAAATTCCACAAAAAGGGTGTTTAACATCTGCTCTTCTAAAGGAAAGTTCAACTCTATGAGTTGAATACACACAGCACAAAGAAGTTACTGAGACTTCTCCTATCAAACATTATATGAAGAAATCCCGTTTCCAACGAAGGCCTCAAAGAGGTCCAAATATCTGCTTGCAGACTTTACAGACAGAGTGTTTCCAAACTGCTCCATCAAAAGAAAGGTTAAACTCCTTGAGTTGAACACACACATCACAAAGTAGTTTCTGTGAATGATTCTGTCTAGTTGTTATACGAAGATGTTTCCTTTTCTACCTTTGGTCTCAAAGCGATTGAAATCTCCACATGGAAACTCCACAAAAAGAGTGTTTCAAATCTGCTCTTTCTGAAGGAAGGTTCATCTCTGTGAGTTGAATACACACACCACAAATAAGTTACTGAGAATTCTTCTGTGTAACATTATGTGAGGAAATCCCGTTTCCAACGAAGGCCTCAAAGAGGTCCAAATATCCACTTGCAGACTTTACAAAGACAGTGTCTCCAAACTCCTCCATCAAAAGAAAGGTTATACTCTGTGAATTGAACGCACACATCACAAAGTAGTTTCTGAGAATGATTCTGTCTAGTTTTTATACGAAGATATTTCCTTTTCTACATTTGGCCTAAAAGCGCTTGAAATCTCCACCTGCAAATATCACAAAAAGAGGGTTTCACATCTGCTCTGTCTAAAGGACAGTTCACCTCTGTGAGTTGAATAGAGGCAACACAAAGAACTTACTCAGTATTCTTCTTTCTAGCGTTATGTGAAGAAATCCCGTTTCCAACGAAGGCCTCAAAGAGGTCCAAATATCTGCTTGCAGACTTTACAGACAGAGTGTTTCCAAACTGCTCTATGAAAAGAAAGCTTAAACTCCGTGAGTTGAACGCACACATCACAAAGTTGTTTTGGGGAATGATTCTGTCTTGTTTTTTTACGAAGATATTTCCGTTTCTACGATTGGCCTCAAAGCGATTGAAATCTCCAACTGGAAACTGCACAAATAGGGTGTTTCAAATCTGCTCTGTCTAAAGGTAGGTTCAACTCTGTGAGTTGAATACACACACCACAAATAAGTTACTGAGAATTCTTCTGTCGAACATTACTTGAAGAAATCCCGTTTCCAACGAAGGCCTCAAAGAGGTCCAAATATCCACTTGCAGATATTACAAGCAGAGTGTTTCCAAACTGCTCCATCAAAAGAAAGGTTAAACTCGGTGAGCTGAACACACACATCAAGAAGAAGTTTCTGTGAATTATTCTGTCCAGATTTTATAAGAAGATGTTTCCTTTTCCACTGTAGTCCTCAAAGCGCTTGAAATCTCCAACTGCAAATTCCACAAAAAGGGTGTTTAACATCTGCTCTTCTAAAGGAAAGTTCAACTCTATGAGTTGAATACACACAGCACAAAGAAGTTACTGAGACTTCTCCTATCAAACATTATATGAAGAAATCCCGTTTCCAATGAAGGCCTCAAAGAGGTCCAAATATCCACTTGCAGACGTGACAAACAGAGTGTTTCCAAACTGCTCCATCAAAAGAAAGGTTAAACTCTGTGAGTTGAACACACACATCTCAAAGTAGTTTCTGTGAATGATTCTGTCTAGTTTTTATACGAAGATGTTTCCTTTTCTACCTTTGGTCTCAAAGCGATTGAAATCTCCACATGGAAACTCCACAAAAAGAGTGTTTCAAACCTGCTCCTTCTGAAGGAAGGTTCAACTCTGTGAGTTGAATACACACACCACAAATAAGTTACTGAGAATTCTCTGGGTAACATTATATGAGGAAATCCCGTTTCCAACGAAGGCCTCAAAGAGGTCCAAATATCCACTTGCAGACTTTACAAAGACAGTGTCTCCAAACTCCTCCATCAAAAGAAAGGTTATACTCTGTGAATTGAACGCACACATCACAAAGTAGTTTCTGAGAATGATTCTGTCTAGTTTTCATACGAAGATATTCCCTTTTCTACATTTGGCCTAAAAGCGCTTGAAATCTCCACCTGCAAATATCACAAAAAGAGGGTTTCACATCTGCTCTGTCTAAAGGACAGTTCACCTCTGTGAGTTGAATAGAGGCAACACAAAGAACGTACTCAGTATTCTTCTTTCTAGCGTTCTATGAAGAAATCCCGTTTCCAACGAAGGCCTCAAAGAGGTCCAAATATCTGCTTGCAGACTTTACAGACAGAGTGTTTCCAAACTACTCTATGAAAAGAAAGCTTAAACTCCTTGAGTTAAACGCACACATCACAAAGTAGTTTGCTGAGAATGATTCTGTCTAGTTTATATACGAAGATGTTTCCTTTTCTACATTTGGTCTCAAAGCGATTGAAATCTCCAACTGGAAACTGCACAAATAGGGTGTTTCAAATCTGCTCTGTCTAAAGGAAGGTTCAACTCTGTGAGTTGAATACACACACCACAAATAAGTTACTGAGAATTCTTCTGTCGAACATTACTTGAAGAAATCTCGTTTCCAACGAAGGCCTCAAAGAGGTCCAAATATCCACTTGCAGACATTACAAACAGAGTGTTTCCAAACTGCTCCATCAAAAGAAAGGTTAAACTCTGTGAGCTGAACACACACATCAAAAAGAAGTTTCTGTGAATGATTCTGTCTAGATTTTATAAGAAGATGTTTCCTTTTCTACCGTAGGCCTCAAAGCGCTTGAAATCTCCAGCTGCAAATTCCACAAAAAGGGTGTTTAACATCTGCTCTTCTAAAGGAAAGTTCAACTCTATGAGTTGAATACACACAGCACAAAGAAGTTACTGAGACTTCTCCTATCAAACATTATAGGAAGAAATCCCGTTTCCAACGAAGGCCTCAAAGAGGTCCAAATATCCACTTGCAGACGTGACAAACAGAGTGTTTCCAAACTGCTCCATCAAAAGAAAGGTTAAACTCTGTGAGTTGAACACACACATCACAAAGTAGTTTCTGTGAATGATTCTGTCTAGTTTTTATACGAAGATGTTTCCTTTTCTACCTTTGGTCTCAAAGCGATTGAAATCTCCACATGGAAACTCCACAAAAAGAGTGTTTCAAATCTGCTCTTTCTGAAGGAAGGTTCAACTCTGTGAGTTGAATACACACACCACAAATAAGTTACTGAGAATTCTTCTGTGTAACATTATATGAGGAAATCCCGTTTCCAACGAAGGCCTCAAAGAGGTCCAAATAGGCACTTGCAGACTTTACAAAGACAGTGTCTCCGAACTCCTCCATCAAAAGAAAGGTTATACTCTGTGAATTGAACGCACACATCACAAAGTAGATTCTGAGAACGATTCTGTCTAGTTTTTATACGAAGATATTTCCTTTTCTACATTTGGCCTAAAAGCGCTTGAAATCTCCACCTGCAAATATCACAAAAAGAGGGTTTCACATCTGCTGTGTCTAAAGGACAGTTCACCTCTGTGAGTTGAATAGAGGCAACACAAAGAACTTACTCAGTATTCTTCTTTCTAGCGTTCTATGAAGAAATCCCGTTTCCAACGAAGGCCCCAAAGAGGTCCAAATATCTGCTTGCAGACTTTAGAGACAGAGTGTTTCCAAACTACTCTATGAAAAGAAAGCTTAAACTCCTTGAGTTGAACGCACACATCACAAAGTAGTTTCTGGGAATGATTCTGTCTAGTTTTTATACGAAGATGTTTCCTTTTCTACATTTGGTCTCAAAGCGATTGAAATCTCCAACTGGAAACTGCACAAATAGGCTGTTTCAAATCTGCTCTGTCTAAAGGAAGGTTCAACTCTGTGAGTTGAATACACACACCACAAATAAGTTACTGAGAATTCTTCTGTCGAACATTACATGAAGAAATCCCGTTTCCAACGAAGGCCTCAAAGAGGTCCAAATATCCACTTGCAGACATTACAAACAGTGTGTTTCCAAACTGCTCCATCAAAAGAAAGGTTAAACTCTGTGAGCTGAACACACACATCAAAAAGAAGTTTCTGTGAATGATTCTGTCTAGATTTTATAAGAAGATGTTTCCTTTTCTACCGTAGGCCTCAAAGCGCTTGAAATCTCCAGCTGCAAATTCCACAAAAAGGGTGTTTAACATCTGCTCTTCTAAAGGAAAGTTCAACTCTATGAGTTGAATACACACAGCACAAAGAAGTTACTGAGACTTCTCCTATCAAACATTATATGAAGAAATCCCGTTTCCAACGAAGGCCTCAAAGAGGTCCAAATATCTGCTTGCAGACTTTACAGACAGAGTTTTTCCAAACTGCTCCATCAAAAGAAAGGTTAAACTCCTTGAGTTGAACACACACATCACAAAGTAGTTTCTCTGAATGATTCTGTCTAGTTTTTATACGAAGATGTTTCCTTTTCTACCTTTGGTCTCAATGCGATTGAAATCTCCACATGGAAACTCCACAAAAAGAGTGTTTCAAATCTGCTCTTTCTGAAGGAAGGTTCAACTCTGTTAGTTGAATACACACACCACAAATAAGTTACTGAGAATTCTTCTGTGTAACATTATATGAGGCAATCCCGTTTCCAACGAAGGCCTCAAAGAGGTCCAAATATGCACTTGCAGACTTTACAAAGACAGTGTCTCCAAACTCCTCCATCAAAAGAAAGGTTATACTCTGTGAATTGAACGCACACATCACAAAGTAGTTTCTGAGAATGATTCTGTCTAGTTTTTATACGAAGATATTTCCTTTTCTACATTTGGCCTAAAAGCGCTTAAAATCTCCACCTGCAAATATCACAAAAAGAGGGTTTCACATCTGCTCTGTCTAAAGGACAGTTCACCTCTGTGAGTTGAATAGAGGCAACACAAAGAACTTACTCAGTATTCTTCTTTCTAGCGTTCTATGAAGAAATCCCGTTTCCAACGAAGGCCCCAAAGAGGTCCAAATATCTGCTTGCAGACTTTACAGACAGAGTGTTTCCAAACTACTCTATGAAAAGAAAGCTTAAACTCCTTGAGTTGAACGCACACATCACAAAGTAGTTTCTGAGAATGATTCTGTCTAGTTTTTATACGAAGATGTTTCCTTTTCTACATTTGGTCTCAAAGCGATTGAAATCTCCAACTGGAAACTGCACAAATAGGCTGTTTCAAATCTGCTCTGTCTAAAGGAAGGTTCAACTCTGTGAGTTGAATACACACACCACAAATAAGTTACTGAGAATTCTTCTGTCGAACATTACTTGAAGAAATCCCGTTTCCAAAGAAGGCCTCAAAGAGGTCCAAATATCCACTTGCAGACATTACAAACAGAGTGTTTCCAAACTGCTCCATCAAAAGAAAGGTTAAACTCTGTGAGCTGAACACACACATCAAAAAGAAGTTTCTGTGAATGATTCTGTCTAGATTTTATAAGAAGATGTTTCCTTTTCTACCGTAGGCCTCAAAGCGCTTGAAATCTCCAGCTGCAAATTCCACAAAAAGGGTGTTTAACATCTGCTCTTCTAAAGGAAAGTTCAACTCTATGAGTTGAATACACACAGCACAAAGAAGTTACTGAGACTTCTCCTATCAAACATTATATGAAGAAATCCCGTTTCCAACGAAGGCCTCAAAGAGGTCAAAATATGTGCTTGCAGACTTTAAAGACAGAGTTTTTCCAAACTGCTCCATCAAAAGAAAGGTTAAACTCCTTGAGTTGAACACACACATCACAAAGTAGTTTCTGTGAATGATTCTGTCTAGTTTTTATACGAAGATGTTTCCTTTTCTACCTTTAGTCTCAAAGCGATTGAAATCTCCACATGGAAACTCCACAAAAAGAGTGTTTCAAATCTGCTCTTTCTGAAGGAAGGTTCAACTCTGTGAGTTGAATACACACACCAGAAATAAGTTACTGAGAATTCTTCTGTGTAACATTATATGAGGAAATCCCGTTTCCAACGGAGGCCTCAAAGAGGTCCAAATATCCACTTGCAGACTTTACAAAGACAGTGTCTCCAAACTCCTCCACCAAAAGAAAGGTTATACTCTGTGAATTGAACGCACACATCACAAAGTAGTTTCTGAGAATGATTCTGTCTAGTTTTTATACGAAGATATTTCCTTTTCTACATTTCGCCTAAAAGCGCTTGAAATCTCCACCTGCAAATATCACAAAAAGAGGGTTTCACATCTGCTCTGTCTACAGGACAGTTCACCTCTGTGAGTTAAATAGAGGCAACACAAAGAACTTACTCAGTATTCTTCTTTCTAGCGTTCTATGAAGAAATCCCGTTTCCAACGAAGGCCCCAAAGAGGTCCAAATATCTGCTTGCAGACTTTACAGACAGAGTGTTTCCAAACTACTCTATGAAAAGAAAGCTTAAACTCCTTGAGTTGAACGCACACATCACAAAGTAGTTTCTGAGAATGATGCTGTCTAGTTTTTATACGAAGATGTTTCCTTTTCTACATTTGGTCTCAAAGCGATTGAAATCTCCAACTGGAAACTGCACAAATAGGGTGTTTCAAATCTGCTCTGTCTAAAGGAAGGTTCAACTCTGTGAGTTGAATACACACACCACAAATAAGTTACTGAGTATTCTTCTGTCGAACATTACATGAAGAAATCCCTTTTCCAACGAAGGCCTCAAAGAGGTCCAAATATCCACTTGCAGAGATTACAAACAGTGTGTTTCCAAACTGCTCCATCAAAAGAAAGGTTAAACTCTGTGAGCTGAACCCACACATCAAAAAGAAGTTTCTGTGAATGATTCTGTCTAGATTTTATAAGAAGATGTTTCCTTTTCTACCGTAGGCCTCAAAGCGCTTGAAATCTCCAGCTGCAAATTCCACAAAAAGGGTGTTTAACATCTGCTCTTCTAAAGGAAAGTTCAACTCTATGAGTTGAATACACACAGCACAAAGAAGTTACTGAGACTTCTCCTATCAAACATTATATGAAGAAATCCCGTTTCCAACGAAGGCCTCAAAGAGGTCCAAATATCTGCTTGCAGACTTTACAGACAGAGTGTTTCCAAACTGCTCCATCAAAAGAAAGGTTAAACTCCTTGAGTTGAACACACACATCACAAAGTAGTTTCTGTGAATGATTCTGTCTAGTTTTTATAAGAAGATGTTTCCTTTTCTACCTTTGGTCTCAAAGCGATTGAAATCTCCACATGGAAACTCCTCAAAAAGAGTGTTTCAAATCTGCTCTTTCTGAAGGAAGGTTCAACTCTGTGAGTTGAATACACACACCACAAATAAGTTACTGAGAATTCTTCTGTGTAACATTATATGAGGAAATCCCGTTTCCAACGAAGGCCTCAAAGAGGTCCAAATATCCACTTGCAGACTTTACAAAGACAGTGTCTCCAAACTCCTCCATCAAAAGAAAGGTTATACTCTGTGAATTGAACGCACACATCACAAAGTAGTTTCTGAGAATGATTCTGTCTAGTTTTTATACGAAGATATTTCCTTTTCTACATTTGGCCTAAAAGCGCTTGAAATCTCCACCTGCAAATATCACAAAAAGAGGGTTTCACATCTGCTCTGTCTAAAGGACAGTTCACCTCTGTGAGTTGAATAGAGGCAACACAAAGAACTTACTCAGTATTCTTCTTTCTAGCGTTCTATGAAGAAATCCCGTTTCCAACGAAGGCCCCAAAGAGGTCCAAATATCTGCTTGCAGACTTTACAGACAGAGTGTTTCCAAACTACTCTATGAAAAGAAAGCTTAAACTCCTTGAGTTGAACGCACACATCACAAAGTAGTTTCTGAGAATGATTCTGTCTAGTTTTTATACGAAGATGTTTCCTTTTCTACCTTTGGTCTCAAAGCGATTGAAATCTCCAACTGGAAATTGCACAAATAGGGTGTTTCAAATCTGCTCTGTCTAAAGGAAGGTTCAACTCTGTGAGTTGAATACACACAACACAAATAAGTTACTGAGAAATCTTCTGTCAAACATTCCTTGAAAAAATTCCGTTTCCAACGAAGGCCTCAAAGAGGTCCAAATATCCACTTGCAGACATTACAAATAGTGTGTTTCCAAACTGCTCCATCAAAAGAAAGGTTAAACTCTGTGAGCTGAACACACACATCAAAAAGAAGTTTCTGTGAATGATTCTGTCTAGATTTTATAAGAAGATGTTTCCTTTTCTACCGTAGGCCTCAAAGCGCTTGAAATCTCCAGCTGCAAATTCCACAAAAAGGGTGTTTAACATCTGCTCTTCTAAAGGAAAGTTCAACTCTATGAGTTGAATAGACACAGCACAAAGAAGTTACTGAGACTTCTCCTATCAAACATTATATGAAGAAATCCCGTTTCCAACGAAGGCCTCAAAGAGGTCCAAATATCTGCTTGCAGACTTTACAGACAGAGTTTTTCCAAACTGCTCCATCAAAAGAAAGGTTAAACTCCTTGAGTTGAACACACACATCACAAAGTAGTTTCTGTGAATGATTCTGTCTAGTTTTTATACGAAGATGTTTCCTTTTCTACCTTTGGTCTCAAAGCGATTGAAATCTCCACATGGAAACTCTACAAAAAGAGTGTTTCAAATCTGCTCTTTCTGAAGGAAGGTTCAACTCTGTGAGTTGAATACACACACCACAAATAAGTTACTGAGAATTCTTCTGTGTAACATTATATGAGGAAATCCCGTTTCCAACGAAGGCCTCAAAGAGGTCCAAATATCCACTTGCAGACTTTACAAAGACAGTGTCTCCAAACTCCTCCATCAAAAGAAAGGTTATACTCTGTGAATTGAACGCACACATCACAAAGTAGTTTCTGAGAATGATTCTGTCTAGTTTTTATACGAAGATATTTCCTTTTCTACATTTGGCCTAAAAGCGCTTGAAATCTCCACCTGCAAATATCACAAAAAGAGGGTTTCACATCTGCTCTGTCTAAAGGACAGTTCACCTCTGTGAGTTGAATAGAGGCAACACAAAGAACTTACTCAGTATTCTTCTTTCTAGCGTTCTATGAAGAAATCCCGTTTCCAACGAAGGCCCCAAAGAGGTCCAAATATCTGCTTGCAGACTTTACAGACAGAGTGTTTCCAAACTACTCTATGAAAAGAAAGCTTAAACTCCTTGAGTTGAACGCACACATCACAAAGTAGTTTCTGAGAATGATTCTGTCTAGTTTTTATACGAAGATGTTTCCCTTTCTACATTTGGTCTCAAAGCGATTGAAATCTCCAACTGGAAACTGCACAAATAGGCTGTTTCAAATCTGCTCTGTCTAAATGAAGGTTCAACTCTGTGAGTTGAATACACACACCACAAATAAGTTACTGAGAATTCTTCTGTCGAACATTACATGAAGAAATCCCGTTTCCAACGAACGCCTCAAAGAGGTCCAAATATCCACTTGCAGACACTACAAACAGTGTGTTTCCAAACTGCTCCCTCAAAACAAAGGTTAAACTCTGTGAGCTGAACACACACATCAAAAAGAAGTTTCTGTGAATGATTCTGTCTAGATTTTATAAGAAGATGTTTCCTTTTCTACCGTAGGCCTCAAAGCGCTTGAAATCTCCAGCTGCAAATTCCACAAAAAGGGTGTTTAACATCTGCTCTTCTAAAGGAAAGTTCAACTCTATGCGTTGAATACACACATCACAAAGAAGTTACTGAGACTTCTCCTATCAAACATTATATGAAGAAATCCCGTTTCCAACGAAGGCCTCAAAGAGGTCCAAATATCTGCTTGCAGACTTTACAGACAGAGTGTTTCCAAACTGCTCCATCAAAAGAAAGGTTAAACTCCTTGAGTTGAACACACACATCACAAAGTAGTTTCTGTGAATGATTCTGTCTAGTTTTTATACGAAGATGTTTCCTTTTCTACCTTTGGTCTCAAAGCGATTGAAATCTCCACATGGAAACTCCACAAAAAGAGTGTTTCAAATCTGCTCTTTCTGAAGGAAGGTTCAACTCTGTGAGTTGAATACACACACCACAAATAAGTTACTGAGAATTCTTCTGTGTAACATTATATGAGGAAATCCCGTTTCCAACGAAGGCCTCAAAGAGGTCCAAATATCCACTTGCAGACTTTACAAAGACAGTGTCTCCAAACTCCTCCATCAAAAGAAAGGTTATACTCTGTGAATTGAACGCACACATCACAAAGTAGTTTCTGAGAATGATTCTGTCTAGTTTTTATACGAAGATATTTCCTTTTCTACATTTGGCCTAAAAGCGCTTGAAATCTCCACCTGCAAATATCACAAAAAGAGGGTTTCACATCTGCTCTGTCTAAAGGACAGTTCACCTCTGTGAGTTGAATAGAGGCAACACAAAGAACTTACTCAGTATTCTTCTTTCTAGCGTTCTATGAAGAAATCCCGTTTCCAACGAAGGCCCCAAAGAGGTCCAAATATCTGCTTGCAGACTTTACAGACAGAGTGTTTCCAAACTACTCTATGAAAAGAAAGCTTAAACTCCTTGAGTTGAACGCACACATCACAAAGTAGTTTCTGAGAATGATTCTGTCTTGTTTTTATACGAAGATATTTCCGTTTCTATGATTGGCCTCAAAGCGATTGAAATCTCCAACTGGAAACTGCACTAATAGGGTGTTTCAAATCTGCTCTGTCTAAAGGAAGGTTCAACTCTGTGAGTTGAATACACACACCACAAATAAGTTACTGAGAATTCTTCTGTCGAACATTACATGAAGAAATCCCATTTCCAACGAAGGCCTCAAAGAGGTACAAATATCCACTTGCAGACATTACAAACAGAGTGTTTCCAAACTGCTCCATCAAAAGAAAGGTTAAACTCTGTGAGCTGAACACACACATCAAAAAGAAGTTTCTGTGAATGATTCTGTCTAGATTTTATAAGAAGATGTTTCCTTTTCTACCGTAGGCCTCAAAGCGCTTGAAATCTCCAGCTGCAAATTCCACAAAAGGGTGTTTAACATCTGCTCTTCTAAAGGAAAGTTCAACTCTATGAGTTGAATACACACAGCACAAAGAAGTTACTGAGACTTCTCCTATCAAACATTATATGAAGAAATCCCGTTTCCAACGAAGGCCTCAAAGAGGTCCAAATATCCACTTGTAGACGTGAAAAACAGAGTGTTTCCAAACTGCTCCATCAAAAGAAAGGTTAAACTCTGTGAGTTGAACACACACATCACAAAGTAGTTTCTGTGAATGATTCTGTCTAGTTTTTATACGAAGATGGTTCCTATTCTACCTTTGGTCTCAAAGCGATTGAAATCTCCACATGGAAACTCCACAAAAAGAGTGTTTCAAATCTGCTCTTTCTGAAGGAAGGTTCAACTCTGTGAGTTGAATAGAAACACCACAAATAAGTTACTGAGAATTCTTCTGTGTAACATTATCTGAGGAAATCCCGTTTCCAACGAAGGCCTCAAAGAGGTCCAAATATCCACTTGCAGACTTTACAAAGACAGTGTCTCCAAACTCCTCCATAAAAAGAAAGGTTATACTCTGTGAATTGAACGCACACATCAGAAAGTAGTTTCTGAGAATGATTCTGTCTAGTTTTTATACGAAGATATTTCCTTTTCTACATTTGGCCTAAAAGCGCTTGAAATCTCCACCTGCAAATATCACAAAAAGAGGGTTTCACATCTGCTCTGTCTAAAGGACAGTTCACCTCTGTGAGTTGAATAGAGGCAACACAAAGAACGTACTCAGTATTCTTCTTTCTAGCGTTCTATGAAGAAATCACATTTCCAACGAAGGCCCCAAAGAGGTCCAAATATCTGCTTGCAGACTTTACAGACAGAGTGTTTCCAAACTACTCTATGAAAAGAAAGCTTAAACTCCTTGAGTTGAACGCACACATCACAAAGTAGTTTTCTGAGAATGATTCTGTCTAGTTTTTATACGAAGATGTTTCCTTTTCTACATTTGGTCTCAAAGCGATTGAAATCTCCAACTGGAAACTGCACAAATAGGGTGTTTCAAATCTGCTCGGTCTAAAGGAAGGTTCAACTCTGTGAGTTGAATACACACACCACAAATAAGTTACTGAGAATTCTTCTCTCGAACATTACATGAAGAAATCCCGTTTCCAACGAAGGCCTGAAAGAGGTCCAAATATCCAGTTCCCGACAATGCAAACACAGTGTTTGCAAACTGCTCCGTCAAAAGAAAGGTTAAACTCTGTGAGATGAACACACACATCAGAAAGAAGTTTCTGTGAATGATTCTGTCTAGATTTTATAAGAAGATGTTTCCTTTTCTACCGTAGGCCTCAAAGCGCTTGAAATCTCCAGCTGCAAATTCCACAAAAAGGGTGTTTAACATCTGCTCTTCTAAAGGAAAGTTCAACTCTATGCGTTGAATACACACAGCACAAAGAAGTTACTGAGACTTCTCCTATCAAACATTATATGAAGAAATCCCGTTTCCAACGAAGGCCTCAAAGAGGTCCAAATATCTGCTTGCAGACTTTACAGACAGAGTATTTCCAAACTGCTCCATCAAAAGAAAGGTTAAACTCCTTGAGTTGAACACACACATCACAAAGTAGTTTCTGTGAATGATTCTGTCTAGTTTTTATACGAAGATGTTTCCTTTTCTACCTTTGGTCTCAAAGCGATTGAAATCTCCACATGGAAACTCCACAAAAAGAGTGTTTCAAATCTGCTCTTTCTGAAGGAAGGTTCAACTCTGTGAGTTGAATACACACACCACAAATAAGTTACTGAGAATTCTTCTGTGTAACATTATATGAGGAAATCCCGTTTCCAACGAAGGCCTCAAAGAGGTCCAAATATCCACTTGCAGACTTTACAAAGACAGTGTCTCCAAACTCCTCCATCAAAAGAAAGGTTATACTCTGTGAATTGAACGCACACATCACAAAGTAGTTTCTGAGAATGATTCTGTCTAGTTTTTATACGAAGATATTTCCTTTTCTACATTTGGCCTAAAAGCGCTTGAAATCTTCACCTGCAAATATCACAAAAAGAGGGTTTCACATCTGCTCTGTCTAAAGGACAGTTCACCTCTGTGAGTTGAATAGAGGCAACACAAAGAACTTACTCAGTATTCTTCTTTCTAGCGTTCTATGAAGAAATCCCGTTTCCAACGAAGGCCCCAAAGAGGTCCAAATATCTGCTTGCAGACTTTACAGACAGAGTGTTTCCAAACTACTCTATGAAAAGAAAGCTTAAACTCCTTGAGTTGAACGCACACATCACAAAGTAGTTTCTGAGAATGATTCTGTCTAGTTTTTATACGAAGATGTTTCCTTTTCTACATTTGTCTCAAAGCGATTGAAATCTCCAACTGGAAACTGCACAAATAGGGTGTTTCAAATCTGCTCTGTCTAAAGGGAGGTTCAACTCTGGGAGTTCAATACACACACCACAAATAAGTTACTGAGAATTCTTCTGTCGAATATTACATGAAGAAATCCCGTTTCCAACGAAGGCCTCAAAGAGGTCCAAATATCCACTTGCAGACATTACAAACAGAGTGTTTCCAAACTGCTCCATCAAAAGAAAGGTTAAACTCTGTGAGCTGAACACACACATCAAAAAGAAGTTTCTGTGAATGATTCTGTCTAGATTTTATAAGAAGATGTTTCCTTTTCTACCGTAGGCCTCAAAGCGCTTGAAATCTCCAGCTGCAAATTCCACAAAAAGGGTGTTTAACATCTGCTCTTCTAAAGGAAAGTTCAACTCTATGAGTTGAATACACACAGCACAAAGAAGTTACTGAGACTTCTCCTATCAAACATTATATGAAGAAATCCCGTTTCCAACGAAGGCCTCAAAGAGGTCCAAATATCCACTTGCAGAAGTGACAAACAGAGTGTTTCCAAACTGCTGCATCAAAAGAAAGTTTAAACTCTGTGAGTTGAACACACACATCACAAAGTAGTTTCCGTGAATTATTCTGTCAATTTTTTATACGAAGATGTTTCCTTTTCTACCTTTGGTCTCAAAGCAATTGAAATCTCCACATGGAAACTCCACAAAAAGAGTGTTTCAAATCTGCTCTTTCTGAAGGAAGGTTCAACTCTGTGAGTTGAATACACACACCACAAATAAGTTACTGAGAATTCTTCTGTGTAACATTATATGAGGAAATCCCGTTTCCAACGAAGGCCTCAAAGAGGTCCAAATATCCACTTGCAGACTTTACAAAGACAGTGTCTCCAAACTCCTCCATCAAAAGAAAGGTTATACTCTGTGAATTGAACGCACACATCACAAAGTAGTTTCTGAGAATGATTCTGTCTAGTTTTTATACGAAGATATTTCCTTTTCTACATTTGGCCTAAAAGCGCTTGAAATCTCCACCTGCAAATATCACAAAAAGAGGGTTTCACATCTGCTCTGTCTAAAGGACAGTTCACCTCTGTGAGTTGAATAGAGGCAACACAAAGAACTTACTCAGTATTCTTCTTTCTAGCGTTCTATGAAGAAATCCCGTTTCCAACGAAGGCCTCAAAGAGGTCCAAATATCTGCTTGCAGACTTTACAGACAGAGTGTTTCCAAACTACTCTATGAAAAGAAAGCTTAAACTCCTTGAGTTAAACGCACACATCACAAAGTAGTTTCTGAGAATGATTCTGTCTAGTTTTTATACGAAGATCTTTCCTTTTCTACATTTGGTCCCAAAGCAATTGAAATCTCCAACTGGAAACTGCACAAATAGGGAGTTTCAAATCTGATCTGTCTAAAGGAAGGGTCAACTCTGTGAGTTGAATACACACACCACAAATAAGTTACTGAGAATTCTTCTGTCGAACATTACTTGAAGAAATCCCGTTTCCAACGAAGGCCTCAAAGAGGTCCAAATATCCACTTGCAGATATTACAAACAGAGTGTTTCCAAACTGCTCCATCAAAAGAAAGGTTAAACTCTGTGAGCTGAACACACACATCAAAAAGAAGTTTCTGTGAATGATTCTGTCTAGATTTTATAAGAAGATGTTTCCTTTTCTACCGTAGGCCTCAAAGCGCTTGAAATCTCCAGCTGCAAATTCCACAAAAAGGGTGTTTAACATCTGCTCTTCTAAAGGAAAGTTCAACTCTATGAGTTGAATACACACAGCACAAAGAAGTTACTGAGACTTCTCCTATCAAACATTATATGAAGAAATCCCGTTTCCAACGAAGGCCTCAAAGAGGTCCAAATGTCTGCTTGCAGACTTTACAGACAGAGTGTTTCCAAACTGCTCCATCAAAAGAAAGGTTAAACTCCTTGAGTTGAACACACACATCACAAAGTAGTTTCTGTGAATGATTCTGTCTAGTTTTTATAAGAAGATGTTTCCTTTTCTACCTTTGGTCTCAAAGCGATTGAAATCTCCACATGGAAACTCCACAAAAAGAGTGTTTCAAATCTGCTCTTTCTGAAGGAAGGTTCAACTCTGTGAGTTGAATACACACACCACAAAGAAGTTACTGAGAATTCTTCTGGGTAACATTATATGAGGAAATCCCGTTTCCAACGAAGGCCTCAAAGAGGTCCAAATATCCACTTGCAGACTTTACAAAGACAGTGTCTCCAAACTCCTCCATCAAAAGAAAGGTTATACTCTGTGAATTGAACGCACACATCACAAAGTAGTTTCTGAGAATGATTCTGTCTAGTTTTTATACGAAGATATTTCCTTTTCTACATTTGGCCTAAAAGCGCTTGAAATCTCCACCTGCAAATATCACAAAAAGAGGGTTTCACATCTGCTCTGTCTAAAGGACAGTTCACCTCTGTGAGTTGAATAGAGGCAACACAAAGAACTTACTCAGTATTCTTCTTTCTAGCATTCTATGAAGAAATCCCGTTTCCAACGAAGGCCCCAAAGAGGTCCAAATATCTGCTTGCAGACTTTACAAAGACAGTGTCTCCAAACTCCTCCGTCAAAAGAAAGGTTATACTGCTGTGAATTGAACGCACACATCACAAAGTAGTTTCTGAGAATGATTCTGTCTATTTTTTATACGAAGATAGTTCCTTTTCTACATTTGGCCTAAAAGCGCTTGAAATCTCCACCTGCAAATATCACAAAAAGAGGGTTTCACATCTGCTCTGTCTAAAGGACAGTTCACCTCTGTGAGTTGAATAGAGGCAACACAAAGAACTTACTCAGTATTCTTCTTTCTAGCGTTCTATGAAGAAATCCCGTTTCCAACGAAGGCCCCAAAGAGGTCCAAATATCTGCTTGCAGACTTTACAGACAGAGTGTTTCCAAACTACTCTATGAAAAGAAAGCTTAAACTCCTTGAGTTGAACGCACACATCACAAAGTAGTTTCTGAGAATGATTCTGTCTAGTTTTTATACGAAGATGTTTCCTTTTCTACATTTGGTCTCAAAGCGATTGAAATCTCCAACTGGAAACTGCACAAATAGGGTGTTTCAAATCTGCTCTGTCTAAAGGAAGGTTCAACTCTGTGAGTTGAATACACACACCACAAATAAGTTACTGAGAATTCTTCTGTCGAACATTACAGGAAGAAATCCCGTTTCCAATGAAGGCCTCAAAGAGGTCCAAATATCCACTTGCGGACATTACAAACAGTGTGTTTCCCAACTGCTCCATCAAAAGAAAGGTTAAACTCTGTGAGCTGAACACACACATCAAAAAGAAGTTTCTGTGAATGATTCTGTCTAGATTTTATAAGAAGATGTTTCCTTTTCTACCGTAGGCCTCAAAGCGCTTGAAATCTCCAGCTGCAAATTCCACAAAAAGGGTGTTTAACATCTGCTCTTCTAAAGGAAAGTTCAACTCTATGAGTTGAATACACACAGCACAAAGAAGTTACTGAGACTTCTTCTTTCTAGCATTCTATGAAGAAATCCCGTTTCCAACGAAGGCCTCAAAGAGGTCCAAATATCTGCTTGCAGACTTTACAGACAGAGTTTTTCCAAACTGCTCCATCAAAAGAAAGGTTAAACTCCTTGAGTTGAACACACACATCACAAAGTAGTTTCTGTGAATGATTCTGTCTAGTTTTTATACGAAGATGTTTCCTTTTCTACCTTTGGTCTCAAAGCGATTGAAATCTCCACATGGAAACTCCACAAAAAGAGTGTTTCAAATCTGCTCTTTCTGAAGGAAGGTTCACCTCTGTGAGTTGAATAAACACACCACAAATAAGTTACTGAGAATTCTTCTGTGTAACATTATATGAGGAAATCCCGTTTCCAACGAAGGCCTCAAAGAGGTCCAAATATCCACTTGCAGACTTTACAAAGACAGTGTCTCCAAACTCCTCCATCAAAAGAAAGGTTATACTCTGTGAATTGAACGCACTCATCACAAAGTAGTTTCTGAGAATGATTCTGTCTAGTTTTTATACGAAGATATTTCCTTTTCTACATTTGGCCTAAAAGCGCTTGAAATCTCCACCTGCAAATATCACAAAAAGAGGGTTTCACATCTGCTCTGTCTAAAGGACAGTTCACCTCTGTGAGTTGAATAGAGGCAACACAAAGAACTTACTCAGTATTCTTCTTTCTAGCGTTCTATGAAGAAATCCCGTTTCCAACGAAGGCCTCAAAGAGGTTCAAATATCTGCTTGCAGACTTTACAGACAGAGTGTTTCCAAACTACTCTATGAAAAGAAAGCTTAAACTCCTTGAGTTGAACGCACACATCACAAAGTAGTTTCTGAGAATGATTCTGTCTAGTTTTTATACGAAGATGTTTCCTTTTCTACATTTGGTCTCAAAGCGATTGAAATCTCCAACTGGAAACTGCACAAATAGGGTGTTTCAAATCTGCTCTGTCTAAAGGAAGGTTCAACTCTGTCAGTTGAATACACACACCACAAATAAGTTACTGAGAATTCTTCTGTCTAACATTATATGAAGAAATCCCGTTTCCAACGAAGGCCTCAAAGAGGTCCAAATATCCACTTGCAGACTTGTCAAACAGAGTGTTTCCAAACTGCACCATCAAAAGAAAGGTTAAACACTGTGAGCTGAACACACACAACACAAAGTAGTTTCTGTGAATGATTCTGTCTAGATTTTATAAGAAGATGCTTCCTTTTCTACCGTAGGCCTCAAAGCGCTTGAAATCTCCAGCTGCAAATTCCACAAAAAGGGTGTTTAACATCTGCTCTTCTAAAGGAAAGTTCAACTCTATGAGTTGAATACACACAGCACAAAGAAGTTACTGAGACTTCTCCTATCAAACATTATATGAAGAAATCCCGTTTCCAACGAAGGCCTCAAAGAGGTCCAAATATCTGCTTGCAAACTTTACAGACAGAGTTTTTCCAAACTGCTCCATCAAAAGAAAGGTTAAACTCCTTGAGTTGAACACACACATCACAAAGTAGTTTCTGTGAATGATTCTGTCTAGTTTTTATACGAAGATGTTTCCTTTTCTACCTTTGGTCTCAAAGCGATTGAAATCTCCACATGGAAACTCCACAAAAAGAGTGTTTCAAATCTGCTCTTTCTGAAGGAAGGTTCAACTCTGTGAGTTGAATACACACACCACAAATAAGTTACTGAGAATTCTTCTGTGTAACATTATATGAGGAAATCCCGTTTCCAACGAAGGCCTCAAAGAGGTCCAAATATCCACTTGCAGACTTTACAAAGACAGTGTCTCCAAACTCCTCCATCAAAAGAAAGGTTATACTCTGTGAATTGAACGCACACATCACAAAGTAGTTTCTGAGAATGATTCTGTCTAGTTTTTATACGAAGATATTTCCTTTTCTACATTTGGCCTAAAAGCGCTTGAAATCTCCACCTGCAAATATCACAAAAAGAGGGTTTCACATCTGCTCTGTCTAAAGGACAGTTCACCTCTGTGAGTTGAATAGAGGCAACACAAAGAACTTACTCAGTATTCTTCTTTCTAGCGTTCTATGAAGAAATCCCGTTTCCAACGAAGGCCTCGAAGAGGTCCAAATATCTGCTTGCAGACTTTACAGACAGAGTGTTTCCAAACTACTCTATGAAAAGAAAGCTTAAACTCCTTGAGTTGAACTGCACACATCACAAAGTAGTTTCTGAGAATGATGCTGTCTAGTTTTTGTACGAAGATGTTTCCTTTTCTACATTTGGTCTCAAAGCGATTGAAATCTCCAACTGGAAACTGCACAAATAGGGTGTTTCAAATCTGCTCTGTCTAAAGGAAGGTTCAACTCTGTGAGTTGAATACACACACCACAAATAAGTTACTGAGAATTCTTCTGTCGAACATTACATGAAGAAATCCCGTTTCCAACGAAGGCTTCAAAGAGGTCCAAATATCCACTTGCAGACATTACAGAGTGTTTCCAAACTGCTCCATCAAAAGAAAGGTTAAACTCTGTGAGCTGAACACACACATCAAAAAGAAGTTTCTTTGAATGATTCTGTCTAGATTTTATAAGAAGATGTTTCCTTTTCTACCGTAGGCCTCAAAGCGCTTGAAATCTCCAGCTGCAAATTCCACAAAAAGGGTGTTTAACATCTGCTCTTCTAAAGGAAAGTTCAACTCTATGAGTTGAATACACACAGCACAAAGAAGTTACTGAGACTTCTCCTATCAAACATTATATGAAGAAATCCCGTTTCCAACGAAGGCCTCAAAGAGGTCCAAATATCTGCTTGCAGACTTTACAGACAGAGTGTTTCCAAACTGCTCCATCAAAAGAAAGGTTAAACTCCTTGAGTTGAACACACACATCACAAAGTAGTTTCTGTGAATGATTCTGTCTAGTTTTTATATGAAGATGTTTCCTTTTCTACCTTTGGTCTCAAAGCGATTGAAATCTCCACATGGAAACTCCACAAAAAGAGTGTTTCAAATCTGCTCTTTCTGAAGGAAGGTTCAACTCTGTGAGTTGAATACACACACCACAAATAAGTTACTGAGAATTGTTCTGTGTAACATTATATGAGGAAATCCCGTTTCCAACGAAGGCCTCAAAGAGGTCCAAATATCCACTTGCAGACTTTACAAAGACAGTGTCTCCAAACTCCTCCATCAAAAGAAAGGTTATACTCTGTGAATTGAACGCACACATCACAAAGTAGTTTCTGAGAATGATTCTGTCTAGTTTTTATACGAAGATATTTCCTTTTCTACATTTGGCCTAAAAGCGCTTGAAATCTCCACCTGCAAATATCACAAAAAGAGGGTTTCACATCTGCTCTGTCTAAAGGACAGTTCACCTCTGTGAGTTGAATAGAGGCAACACAAAGAACTTACTCAGTATTCTTCTTTCTAGCGTTCTATGAAGTAATCCCGTTTCCAACGAAGGCCCCAAAGAGGTCCAAATATCTGCTTGCAGACTTTACACACAGAGTGTTTCCAAACTACTCTATGAAAAGAAAGCTTAAACTCCTTGAGTTGAACGCACACATCACAAAGTAGTTTCTGAGAATGATTCTGTCTTGTATTTATACGAAGATATTTCCGTTTCTACGATTGGCCTCAAAGCGATTGAAATCTCCAACTGGAAACAGCACAAATAGGGTGTTTCAAATCTGCTCTGTCTAAAGGAAGGTTCAACTCTGTGAGTTGAATACACACACCACAAATAAGTTACTGAGAATTCTTCTGTCGAACATTACATGAAGAAATCCCGTTTCCAACGAAGGCCTCAAAGAGGTCCAAATATCCACTTGCAGACATTACAAACAGAGTGTTTCCAAACTGCTCCATCAAAAGAAAGGTTAAACTCTGTGAGCTGAACACACACATCAAAAAGAAGTTTCTGTGAATGATTCTGTCTAGATTTTATAAGAAGATGTTTCCTTTTCTACCGTAGGCCTCAAAGCGCTTGAAATCTCTAGGTGCAAATTCCACAAAAAGGGTGTTTAACATCTGCTCTTCTAAAGGAAAGTTCAACTCTATGAGTTGAATACACACAGCACAAAGAAGTTACTGAGACTTCTCCTATCAAACATTATATGAAGAAATCCCGTTTCCAACGAAGGCCTCAAAGAGGTCAAATATCTGCTTGCAGACTTTACAGACAGAGTGTTTCCAAACTACTCTATGAAAAGAAAGCTTAAACTCCTTGAGTTGAACGCACACATCACAAAGTAGTTTCTGAGAATGATTCTGTCTAGTTTTTATACGAAGATGTTTCCTTTTCTACCTTTGGTCTCAAAGCGATTGAAATCTCCACATGGAAACTCCACAAAAAGAGTGTTTCAAATCTGCTCTTTCTGAAGGAAGGTTCAACTCTGTGAGTTGAATACACACACCACAAATAAGTTACTGAGAATTCTTCTGTGTAACATTATATGAGGAAATCCCGTTTCCAACGAAGGCCTCAAAGAGGTCCAAATATCCACTTGCAGACTTTACAAAGACAGTGTCTCCAAACTCCTCCATCAAAAGAAAGGTTATACTCTGTGAATTGAACGCACACATCACAAAGTAGTTTCTGAGAATGATTCTGTCTAGTTTTTATACGAAGATATTTCCTTTTCTACATTTGGCCTAAAAGCGCTTGAAATCTCCACCTGCAAATATCACAAAAAGAGGGTTTCACATCTGCTCTGTCTAAAGGACAGTTCACCTCTGTGAGTTGAGTAGAGGCAACACAAAGAACTTACTCAGTATTCTTCTTTCCAGCGTTCTATGAAGAAATCACGTTTGCAACGAAGGCCCCAGTGAGGTCCAAATATCTGCTTGCAGACTTTACAGACAGAGTGTTTCCAAACTACTCTATGAAAAGAAAGCTTAAACTCCTTGAGTTGAACGCACACATCACAAAGTAGTTTCTGAGAATGATTCTGTCTAGTTTTTATACGAAGCATGTTTCCTTTTCTACATTTGGTCTCAAAGCGATTGAAATCTCCAACTGGAAACTGCACAAATAGGGTGTTTCAAATCTGCTCTGTCTAAAGGAAGGTTCAACTCTGTGAGTTGAATACACACACCACAAATAAGTTACTGAGAATTCTTCTGTCGAACATTACTTGAAGAAATCCCGTTTCCAACGAAGGCCTCAAAGAGGTCCAAATATCCACTTGCAGACATTACAAACAGAGTGTTTCCAACCTGCTCCATCAAAAGAAAGGTTAAACTCTGTGAGCTGAACACACACATCAAAAAGAAGTTTCCTGTGAATGATTCTGTCTAGATTTTATAAGAAGATGTTTCCTTTTCTACCGTAGGCCTCAAAGCGCTTGAAATCTCCAGCTGCAAATTCCACAAAAAGGGTGTTTAACATCTGCTCTTCTAAAGGAAAGTTCAACTCTATGAGTTGAATACACACAGCACAAAGAAGTTACTGAGACTTCTCCTATCAAACATTATATGAAGAAATCCCGTTTCCAACGAAGGCCTCAAAGAGGTCCAAATATCTGCTTGCAGACTTTACAGACAGAGTATTTCCAAACTGCTCCATCAAAAGAAAGGTTAAACTCCTTGAGTTGAACACACACATCACAAAGTAGTTTCTGTGAATGATTCTGTCTAGTTTTTATACGAAGATGTTTCCTTTTCTACCTTTGGTCTCAAAGCGATTGAAATCTCCACATGGAAACTCCACAAAAAGAGTGTTTCAAATCTGCTCTTTCTGAAGGAAGGTTCAACTCTGTGAGTTGAATACACACACCACAAATAAGTTACTGAGAATTCTTCTGTGTAACATTATATGAGGAAATCCCGTTTCCAACGAAGGCCTCAAAGAGGTCCAAATATCCACTTGCAGACTTTACAAAGACAGTGTCTCCAAACTCCTCCATCAAAAGAAAGGTTATACTCTGTGAATTGAACGCACACGTCACAAAGTAGTTTCTGAGAATGATTCTGTCTAGTTTTTATACGAAGATATTTCCTTTTCTACATTTGGCCTAAAAGCGCTTGAAATCTCCACCTGCAAATATCACAAAAAGAGGGTTTCACATCTGCTCTGTCTAAAGGACAGTTCACCTCTGTGAGTTGAATAGAGGCAACACAAAGAACTTACTCAGTATTCTTCTTTCTAGCGTTCTATGAAGAAATCCCGTTTCCAACGAAGGCCCTAAAGAGGTCCAAATATCTGCTTGCAGACTTTACAGACAGAGTGTTTCCAAACTACTCTATGAAAAGAAAGCTTAAACTCCTTGAGTTGAACGCACACATCACAAAGTAGTTTCTGAGAATGATTTCTGTCTAGTTTTTATACGAAGATATTTCCTTTTCTACATTTGGTCTCAAAGCGATTGAAATCTCCAACTGGAAACTGCACAAATAGGGTGTTTCAAATCTGCTCTGTCTAAAGGAAGGTTCAACTCTGTGAGTTGAATACACACACCACAAATAAGTTACTGAGAATTCTTCTGTCGAACATTACATGAAGAAATCCCGTTTCCAACGAAGGCCTCAAAGAGGTCCAAATATCCACTTGCAGACATTACAAACAGTGTGTTTCCCACCTGCTCCATCAAAAGAAAGGTTAAACTCTGTGAGCTGAACACACACATCAAAAAGAAGTTTCTGTGAATGATTCTGTCTAGATTTTATAAGAAGATGTTTCCTTTTCTACCGTAGGCCTCAAAGCGCTTGAAATCTCCAGCTGCAAATTCCACAAAAAGGGGGTTTAACATCTGCTCTTCTAAAGGAAAGTTCAACTCTATGAGTTGAATACACACAGCACAAAGAAGTTACTGAGACTTCTCCTATCAAACATTATATGAAGAAATCCCGTTTCCAACGAAGGCCTCAAAGAGGTCCAAATATCTGCTTGCAGACTTTACAGACAGAGTGTTTCCAAACTGCTCCATCAAAAGAAAGGTTAAACTCCTTGAGTTGAACACACACATCACAAAGTAGTTTCTGTGAATGATTCTGTCTAGTTTTTATACGAAGATGTTTCCTTTTCTACCTTTGGTCTCAATGCGATTGAAATCTCCACATGGAAACTCCACAAAAAGAGTGTTTCAAATCTGCTCTTTCTGAAGGAAGGTTCAACTCTGTGAGTTGAATACACACACCACAAATAAGTTACTGAGAATTCTTCTGTGTAACATTATATGAGGAAATCCCGTTTCCAACGAAGGCCTCAAAGAGGTCCAAATATCCACTTGCAGACTTTACAAAGACAGTGTCTCCAAACTTCTCCATCAAAAGAAAGGTTATACTCTATGAATTGAACGCACACATCACAAAGTAGTTTCTGAGAATGATTCTGTCTAGTTTTTATGCGAAGATATTTCCTTTTCTACATTTGGCCTAAAAGCGCTTGAAATCTCCACCTGCAAATATCACAAAAAGAGGGTTTCACATCTGCTCTGTCTAAAGGACAGTTCACCACTATGAGTTGAATAGAGGCAACACCAAGAACTTACTCAGTATTCTTCTTTCTAGCGTTGTATGAAGAAATCCCGTTTCCAACGAAGGCCCCAAAGAGGTCCAAATATCTGCTTGTAGACTTTACAGACAGAGTGTTTCCAAACTACTCTATGAAAAGAAAGCTTAAACTCCTTGAGTTGAACGCACACATCACAAAGTAGTTTCTGAGAATGATTCTGTCTAGTTTTTATACGAAGATGTTTCCTTTTCTACATTTGGTCTCAAAGCGATTGAAATCTCCAACTGGAAACTGCACAAATAGGGTGTTTCAAATCTGCTCTGTCTAAAGGAAGGTTCAACTCTGTGAGTGGAATACACACACCACAAATAAGTTACTGAGAATTCTTCTGTCGAACATTACTTGAAGAATCCCGTTTCCAACGAAGGCCTCAAAGAGGTCCAAATATCCACTTGCAGACATTACAAACAGAGTGTTTCCAAACTGCTCCATCAAAAGAAAGGTTAAACTCTGTGAGCTGAACACACACATCAAAAAGAAGTTTCTGTGAATGATTCTGTCTAGATTTTATAAGAAGATGTTTCCTTTTCTACCGTAGGCCTCAAAGCGCTTGAAATCTCCAGCTGCAAATTCCACAAAAAGGGTGTTTAACATCTGCTCTTCTAAAGGAAAGTTCAACTCTATGAGTTGAATACACACAGCACAAAGAAGTTACTGAGACTTCTTCTGTCTAACATTATATGAAGAAATCCCGTTTCCAACGAAGGCCTCAAAGAGGTCCAAATATCTGCTTGCAGACTTTACAGACAGAGTGTTTCCAAACTGCTCCATCAAAAGAAAGGTTAAACTCCTTGAGTTGAACACACACATCACAAAGTAGTTTCTGTGAATGATTCTGTCTAGTTTTTATACGAAGATGTTTCCTTTTCTACCTTTGGTCTCAAAGCGATTGAAATCTCCACATGGAAACTCCACAAAAAGAGTGTTTCAAATCTGCTCTTTCTGAAGGAAGGTTCAACTCTGTGAGTTGAATACACACACCACAAATAAGTTACTGAGAATTCTTCTGTGTAACAATATATGAGGAAATCCCGTTTGAACGAAGGCCTCAAAGAGGTCCAAATATCCACTTGCAGACTTTACAAAGACAGTGTCTCCAAACTCCTCCATCAAAAGAAAGGTTATACTCGGTGAATTGAACGCACACATCACAAAGTATTTTCTGAGAATGATTCTGTCTAGTTTTTATACCGAAGATATTTCCTTTTCTACATTTGGCCTAAAAGCGCTTGAAATCTCCACCTGCAAATATCACAAAAAGAGGGTTTCACATCTGCTCTGTCTAAAGGACAGTTCACCTCTGTGAGTTGGATAGAGGCAACACAAAGAACTTACTCAGTATTCTTCTTTCTAGCGTTCTATGAAGAAATCCCTTTTCCAACGAAGACCCCAATGAGGTCCAAATATCTGCTTGCAGACTTTACAGACAGAGTGTTTCCAAAGTACTCTATGAAAAGAAAGCTTAAACTCCTTGAGTTGAACGCACACATCACAAAGTAGTTTCTGAGAATGATTCTGTCTAGTTTTTATACGAAGATGTTTCCTTTTCTACATTTGGTCTCAAAGCGATTGAAATCTCCAACAGGAAACTGCACAAATAGGGTGTTTCAAATCTGCTCTGTCTAAAGGAAGGTTCAACTCTGTGAGTTGAATACACACACCACAAATAAGTTACTGAGAATTCTTCTGTCGAACATTACAGGAAGAAATCCCGTTTCCAGCGAAGGCCTCAAAGAGGTCCAAATATCCACTTGCAGACATTACAAACAGAGTGTTTCCAAACTGCTCCATCAAAAGAAAGGTTAAACTCTGTGAGCTGAACACACACATCAAAAAGAAGTTTCTGTGAATGATTCTGTCTAGATTTTATAAGAAGATGTTTCCTTTTCTACCGTAGGCCTCAAAGCGCTTGAAATCTCCACCTGCAAATTCCACAAAACGGGTGTTTAACATCTGCTCTTCTAAAGGAAAGTTCAACTCTATGAGTTGAATACACACAGCACAAAGAAGTTACTGAGACTTCTCCTATCAAACATTATATGAAGAAATCCCGTTTCCAACGAAGGCCTCAAAGAGGTCCAAATATCTGCTTGCAGACTTTACAGACAGAGTTTTTCCAAACTGCTCCATCAAAAGAAAGGTTAAACTCCTTGAGTTGAACACACACATCACAAAGTAGTTTCTGTGAATGATTCTGTCTAGTTTATCTACGAAGATGTTTCCTTTTCGACCTTTGGTCTCAAAGCGATTGAAATCTCCACATGGAAACACCACAAAAAGAGTGTTTCAAATCTGCTCTTTCTGAAGGAAGGTTCAACTCTGTGAGTTGAATACACACACCACAAATAAGTTACTGAGAATTCTTCTGTGTAACATTATATGAGGAAATCCCGTTTCCAACGAAGGCCTCAAAGAGGTCCAAATATCCACTTGCAGACTTTACAAAGACAGTGTCTCCAAACTCCTCCATCAAAAGAAAGGTTATACTCTGTGAATTGAACGCACACATCACAAAGTAGTTTCTGAGAACGATTCTGTCTAGTTTTTATACGAAGATATTTCCTTTTCTACATTTGGCCTAAAAGCGCTTGAAATCTCCACCTGCAAATATCACAAAAAGAGGGTTTCACATCTGCTCTGTCTAAAGGACAGTTCACCTCTGTGAGTTGAATAGAGGCAACACAAAGAACTTACTCAGTATTCTTCTTTCTAGCGTTCTATGAAGAAATCCCGTTTCCAACGAAGGCCTCAAAGAGGTCCAAATATCTGCTTGCAGACTTTACAGACAGAGTGTTTCCAAACTACTCTATGAAAAGAAAGCTTAAACTCCTTGAGTTGAACGCACACATCACAAAGTAGTTTCTGAGAATGATGCTGTCTAGTTTTTATACGAAGATGTTTCCTTTTCTACATTTGGTCTCAAAGCGATTGAAATCTCCAACTGGAAACTGCACAAATAGGGTGTTTCAAATCTGCTCTGTCTAAAGGAAGGTTCAACTCAGGGAGTTGAATACACACACCACAAATAAGTTACTGAGAATTCTTCTGTCGAACATTACTTGAAGAAATCCCGTTTCCAACGAAAGCCACAAAGAGGTCCAAATATCCACTTGCAGACATTACAAACAGAGTGTTTCCAAACTGCTCCATCAAAAGAAAGGTTATACTCTGTGAGCTGAACAGACACATCAAAAAGAAGTTTCTGTGAATGATTCTGTCTAGATTTTATAAGAAGATGTTTCCTTTTCTACCGTAGGCCTCAAAGCGCTTGAAATCTCCAGCTGCAAATTCCACAAAAAGGGTGTTTAACATCTGCTCTTCTAAAGGAAAGTTCAACTCTATGAGTTGAATACACACAGCACAAAGAAGTTACTGAGACTTCTCCTATCAAACATTATATGAAGAAATCCCGTTTCCAACGAAGGCCTCAAAGAGGTCCAAATATCTGCTTGCAGACTTTACAGACAGAGTGTTTCCAAACTGCTCCATCAAAAGAAAGGTTAAACTCCTTGAGTTGAACACACACATCACAAAGTAGTTTCTGTGAATGATTCTGTCTAGTTTTTATAAGAAGATGTTTCCTTTTCTACCTTTGGTCTCAAAGCGATTGAAATCTCCACATGGAAACTCCACAAAAAGAGTGTTTCAAATCTGCTCTTTCTGAAGGAAGGTTCAACTCTGTGAGTTGAATACACACACCACAAATAAGTTACTGAGAATTCTTCTGTGTAACATTATATGAGGAAATCCCGTTTCCAACGAAGGCCTCAAAGAGGTCCAAATATCCACTTGCAGACTTTACAAAGACAGTGTCTCCAAACTCCTCCATCAAAAGAAAGGTTATACTCTGTGAATTGAACGCACACATCACAAAGTAGTTTCTGAGAATGATTCTGTCTAGTTTTTATACGAAGATATTTCCTTTTCTACATTTGGCCTAAAAGCGCTTGAAATCTCCACCTGCAAATATCACAAAAAGAGGGTTTCACATCTGCTCTGTCTAAAGGACAGTTCACCTCTGTGAGTTGAATAGAGGCAACACAAAGAACTTACTCAGTATTCTTCTTTCTAGCATTCTATGAAGAAATCCCGTTTCCAACGATGGCCCCAAAGAGGTCCAAATATCTGCTTGCAGACTTTACAAAGACAGTGTCTCCAAACTCCTCCATCAAAAGAAAGGTTATACTCTGTGAATTGAACGCACACATCACAAAGTAGTTTCTGAGAATGATTCTGTCTAGTTTTTATACGAAGATATTTCCTTTTCTACATTTGGCCTAAAAGCGCTTGAAATCTCCACCTGCAAATATCACAAAAAGAGGCTTTCACATCTGCTCTGTCTAAAGGACAGTTCACCTCTGTGAGTTCAATAGAGGCAACACAAAGAACTTTCTGAGTATTCTTCTTTCTAGCGTTATATGAAGAAATCCCGTTTCCAACGAAGGCCTCAAAGAGGTCCAAATATCTGCTTGCAGACTTTACAGACAGAGTGTTTCCAAACTACTCTATGAAAAGAAAACTTAAACTCCTTGAGTTGAATGCACACATCACAATGTAGTTTCTGAGAATGATTCTGTCTTGTTTTTATACGAAGATATTTCCGTTTCTATGATTGGCCTCAAACCATTGAAATCTCCAACTGGAAACTGCACAAATAGGGTGTTTCAAATCTGCTCTGTCTAAAGGAAGGTTCAACTCTGTGAGTTGAATACACACACCACAAATAAGTAACTGAGAATTCTTCTGTCGAACATTACATGAAGAAATCCCGTTTCCAACGAAGGCCTCAAAGAGGTCCAAATATCCACTTGCAGACATTACGAACAGAGTGTTTCCAAACTGCTCCATGAAAAGAAAGGTTAAACTCTGTGAGCTGAACACACACATCAAAAAGAAGTTTCTGTGAATGATTCTGTCTAGATTTTATAAGAAGATGTTTCCTTTTCTACCGTAGGCCTCAAAGCGCTAGAAATCTCCAGCTGCAAATTCCACAAAAAGGGGGTTTAACATCTGCTTTTCTAAAGGAAAGTTCAACTCTATGAGTTGAATACACACAGCACAAAGAAGTTAATGAGACTTCTCCTATCAAACATTATATGAAGAAATCCCGTTTCCAACGAAGGCCTCAAAGAGGTCCAAATATCTACTTGCAGACTTTACAGACAGAGTGTTTCCAAACTGCTCCATCAAAAGAAAGGTTAAACTCCTTGAGTTGAACACACACATCACAAAGTAGTTTCTGTGAATGATTCTGTCTAGTTTTTATACGAAGATGTTTTCTTTTCTACCTTTGGTCTCAAAGCGATTGAAATCTCCACATGGAAACTCCACAAAAAAGAGTGTTTCAAATCTGCTCTTTCTGAAGGAAGGTTCAACTCTGTGAGTTGAATACACACACCACAAATAAGTTACTGAGAATTCTTCTGTGTAACATTATATGAGGAAATCCCGTTTCCAACGAAGGCCTCAAAGAGGTCCAAATATCCACTTGCAGACTTTACAAAGACAGTGTCTCCAAACTCCTCCATCAAAAGAAAGGTTATACTCTGTGAATTGAACGCACACATCACAAAGTAGTTTCTGAGAATGATTCTGTCTAGTTTTTATACGAAGATATTTCCTTTTCTACATTTGGCCTAAAAGCGCTTGAAATCTCCACCTGCAAATATCACAAAAAGAGGGTTTCACATCTGCTCTGTCTAAAGGACAGTTCACCTCTGTGAGTTGAATAGAGGCAACACAAAGAACTTACTCAGTATTCTTCTTTCTAGCATTCTATGAAGAAATCCCGTTTCCAACGAAGGCCCCAAAGAGGTCCAAATATCTGCTTGCAGACTTTACAGACAGAGTTTTTCCAAACTGCTCCATCAAAAGAAAGGTTAAACTCCTTGAGTTGAACACACACATCCAAAGTAGTTTCTGTGAATGATTCTGTCTAGTTTTTATACGAAGATGTTTCCTTTTCTACATTTGGTCTCAAAGCGATTGAAATCTCCAACTGGAAACTGCACAAATAGGGAGTTTCAAATCTGATCTGTCTAAAGGAAGGGTCAACTCTGTGAGTTGAATACACACACCGCAAATAAGTTACTGTGAATTCTTCTGTCGAACATTACATGAAGAAATCCCGTTTCCAACGAAGGCCTCAAAGAGGTCCAAATATCCACTTGCAGACATTACAGAGTGTTTCCAAACTGCTCCATCAAAAGAAAGGTTAAACTCTGTGAGCTGAACACACACATCAAAAAGAAGTTTCTTTGAATGATTCTGTCTAGATTTTATAAGAAGATGTTTCCTTTTCTACCGTAGGCCTCAAAGCGCTTGAAATCTCCAGCTGCAAATTCCACAAAACGGGTGTTTATCATCTGCTCTTCTAAAGGAAAGTTCAACTCTATGAGTTGAATACACACAGCACAAAGAAGTTACTGAGACTTCTCCTATCAAACATTATATGAAGAAATCCCGTTTCCAACGAAGGCCTCAAAGAGGTCCAAGTATCTGCTTGCAGACTTTACAGACAGAGTGTTTCCAAACTGCTCCATCAAAAGAAAGGTTAAACTCCTTGAGTTGAACACACACATCACAAAGTAGTTTGCTGTGAATGATTCTGTCTAGATTTTATACGAAGATGTTTCCTTTTCTACCATAGGCCTCAAAGCGCTTGAAATCTCCACATGGAAACTCCACAAAAGGAGTGTTTCAAATCTGCTCTTTCGGAAGGAAGGTTCAACTCTTTGAGATGAATACACACAGCACAAGTAAGTTACTGAGAATTCATCTGTGTAACTTTATATGAGGAAAACCCGTTTCCAACGAAGGCTTCAAAGAGGTCCAAATATCCACTTACAGACATTACAAAGACAGTGTCTCCAAACTCCTCCATCAAAACAAAGGTTATACTCTGTGAATTCAACGCACACATCACCAAGTAGTTTATGAGAATGATTCTGTCTAGTTTTTATACGAAGTATATTTCCTTTTCTACATTTGGCCTAAAAGCGCTTGAAATCTCCACCTGCAAATATCACAAAAAGAGGGTTTCACATCTGCTCTGTCTAAAGGACAGTTCAACTCTGTGAGTTGAATAGAGGCAACACAAAGAAGTTACTGAGTATTCTTCTTTCTAGCGTTATATGAAGAAATCCCGTTTCCAACGAAGGCCTCAAAGAGGTCCAAATATCTGCTTGCAGACTTTACAGACAGAGTGTTTCCAAACTACTCTATGAAAAGAAAGCTTAAACTCCATGAGTTGAACGCACACATCACAAAGTAGTTTCTGAGAATGATTCTGTCTAGTTTTTATACGAAGATGTTTCCTTTTCTACATTTGGTCTCAAAGCGATTGAAATCTCCAACTGGAAACTGCACAAATAGGGTGTTTCAAATCTGCTCTGTCTAAAGGAAGGTTCAACTCTTTGAGTTGAATACACACACCACAAATAAGTTACTGAGAATTCTTCTCTCGAACATTACATGAAGAAATCCCGTTTCCAACGAAGGCTTCAAAGAGGTCGAAATATCCACTTGCCGACATGGCAAACACAGTGTTTGCAAACTGCTCCGTCAAAAGAAAGGTTAAAGTCTGTGAGATGAACACACACATCAAAAAGAAGTTTCTGTGAATGATTCTGTCTAGATTTTATAAGAAGATGTTTCCTTTTCTACCGTAGGCCTCAAAGCGCTTGAAATCTCCAGCTGCAAATTCCACAAAAAGGGTGTTTAACATCTGCTCTACTAAAGGAAAGTTCAGCTCAATGAGTTGAATACACACAGCACAAAGAAGTTACTGAGACTTCTCCTATCAAACATTATATGAAGAAATCCCGTTTCCAACGAAGGCCTCAAAGAGGTCCAAATATCTGCTTGCAGACTTTACAGACAGAGTGTTTCCAAACTGCTCCATCAAAAGAAAGGTTAAACTCCTTGAGTTGAACACACACATCACAAAGTAGTTTCTGTGAATGATTCTGTCTAGTTTTTATACGAAGATGTTTCCTTTTCTACCTTTGGTCTCAAAGCGATTGAAATCTCCACATGGAAACTCCACAAAAAGAGTGTTTCAAATCTGCTCTTTCTGAAGGAAGGTTCACCTCTGTGAGTTGAATAAACACACCACAAATAAGTTACTGAGAATTCTTCTGTGTAACATTATATGAGGAAATCCCGTTTCCAACGAAGGCCTCAAAGAGGTCCAAATATCCACTTGCAGACTTTACAAAGACAGTGTCTCCAAACTCCTCCATCAAAAGAAAGGTTATACTCTGTGAATTGAACGCACACATCACAAAGTAGTTTCTGAGAATGATTCTGTCTAGTTTTTATACGAAGATGTTTCCTTTTCTACATTTGGCCTAAAAGCGCTTGAAATCTCCACCTGCAAATATCACAAAAAGAGGGTTTCACATCTGCTCTGTCTAAAGGACAGTTCACCTCTGTGAGTTGAATAGAGGCAACACAAAGAACTTACTCAGTATTCTTCTTTCTAGCGTTCTATGAAGAAATCCCGTTTCCAACGAAGGCCCCAAAGAGGTCCAAATATCTGCTTGCAGACTTTACAGACAGAGTGTTTCCAAACTACTCTATGAAAAGAAAGCTTAAACTCCTTGAGTTGAACGCACACATCACAAAGTAGTTTCTGAGAATGATTCTGTCTAGTTTTTATACGAAGATGTTTCCTTTTCTACATTTGTTCTCAAAGCGTTTGAAATCTCCAAATGGAAACTGCACAAATAGGGTGTTTCAAATCTGCTCTGTCTAAAGGAAGGTTCAACTCTGTGAGTTGAATACACACACCACAAATAAGTTGCTGAGAATTCTTCTGTCGAACATTACATGAAGAAATCCCGTTTCCAACGAAGGCCTCAAAGAGGTCCAAATATCCACTTGCAGAGATTACAAACAGTGTGTTTCCAAACTGCTCCATCAAAAGAAAGGTTAAACTCTGTGAGCTGAACCCACACATCAAAAAGAAGTTTCTGTGAATGATTCTGTCTAGATTTTATAAGAAGATGTTTCCTTTTCTACCGTAGGCCTCAAAGCGCTTGAAATCTCCAGCTGCAAATTCCACAAAAAGGGTGTTTAACATCTGCTCTTCTAAAGGAAAGTTCAACTCTATGAGTTGAATACACACATCACAAAGAAGTTACTGAGACTTCTCCTATCAAACATTATATGAAGAAATCCCGTTTCCAACGAAGGCCTCAAAGAGGTCCAAATGTCTGCTTGCAGACTTTACAGACAGAGTGTTTCCAAACTGCTCCATCAAAAGAAAGGTTAAACTCCTTGAGTTGAACACACACATCACAAAGTAGTTTCTGTGAATGATTCTGTCTAGTTTTTATACGAAGATGTTTCCTTTTCTACCTTTGGTCTCAAAGCGATTGAAATCTCCACATGGAAACTCCACAAAAAGAGTGTTTCAAATCTGCTCTTTCTGAAGGAAGGTTCAACTCTGTGAGTTGAATACACACACCACAAATAAGTTACTGAGAATTCTTCTGGGTAACATTATATGAGGAAATCCCGTTTCCAACGAAGGCCTCAAAGAGGTCCAAATATCCACTTGCAGACTTTACAAAGACAGTGTCTCCAAACTCCTCCATCAAAAGAAAGGTTATACTCTGTGAATTGAACGCACACATCACAAAGTAGTTTCTGAGAATGATTCTGTCTAGTTTTTATACGAAGATATTTCCTTTTCTACATTTGGCCTAAAAGCGCTTGAAATCTCCACCTGCAAATATCACAAAAAGAGGGTTTCACATCTGCTCTGTCTAAAGGACAGTTCACCTCTGTGAGTTGAATAGAGGCAACACAAAGAACTTACTCAGTATTCTTCTTTCTAGCGTTCTATGAAGAAATCCCGTTTCCAACGAAGGCCCCAAAGAGGTCCAAATATCTGCTTGCAGACTTTACAGACAGAGTGTTTCCAAACTACTCTATGAAAAGAAAGCTTAAACTCCTTGAGTTGAACGCACACATCACAAAGTAGTTTCTGAGAATGATTCTGTCTAGTTTTTATACGAAGATGTTTCCTTTTCTACATTTGGTCTCAAAGCGATTGAAATCTCCAACTGGAAACTGCACAAATAGGGTGTTTCAAATCTGCTCTGTCTAAAGGAAGGTTCAACTCTTTGAGTTGAATACACACACCACAAATAAGTTACTGAGAATTCTTCTGTCGAACATTACATGAAGAAATCCCGTTTCCAACGAAGGCCTCAAAGAGGTCCAAATATCCACTTGCAGACATTACAAACAGAGTGTTTCCAAACTGCTCCATCAAAAGAAAGGTTAAACTCTGTGAGCTGAACACACACATCAAAAAGAAGTTTCTGTGAATGATTCTGTCTAGATTTTATAAGAAGATGTTTCCTTTTCTACAGTAGGCCTCAAAGCGCTTGAAATCTCCAGCTGCAAATTCCACAAAAAGGGTGTTTAACATCTGCTGTTCTAAAGGAAAGTTCAAATCAATGAGTTGAATACACACAGCACAAAGAAGTTACTGAGACTTCTACTATCATACATTATATGAAGAAATCCCGTTTCCAATGAAGGCCTCAAAGAGGTCCAAATATCTGCTTGCAGACTTTACAGACAGAGTGTTTCCAAACTGCTCCATCAAAAGAAAGGTTAAACTCCTTGAGTTGAACACACACATCACAAAGTAGTTTCTGTGAATGATTCTGTCTAGTTGTTATACGAAGATGTTTCCTTTTCTACCTTTGGTCTCAAAGCGATTGAAATCTCCACATGGAAACTCCACAAAAAGAGTGTTTCAAATCTGCTCTTTCTGAAGGAAGGTTCATCTCTGTGAGTTGAATACACACACCACAAATAAGTTAGTGAGAATTCTTCTGTGTAACATTATATGAGGAAATCCCGTTTCCAACGAAGGCCTCAAAGAGGTCCAAATATCCACTTGCAGACTTTACAAAGACAGTGTCTCCAAACTCCTCCATCAAAAGAAAGGTTATACTCTGTGAATTGAACGCACACATCACAAAGTAGTTTCTGAGAATGATTCTGTCTAGTTTTTATACGAAGATATTTCCTTTTCTACATTTGGCCTAAAAGCGCTTGAAATCTCCACCTGCAAATATCACAAAAAGAGGGTTTCACATCTGCTCTGTCTAAAGGACAGTTCACCTCTGTGAGTTGAATAGAGGCAACACAAAGAACGTACTCAGTATTCTTCTTTCTAGCGTTCTATGAAGAAATCCCGTTTCCAACGAAGGCCTCAAAGAGGTCCAAATATCTGCTTGCAGACTTTACAGACAGAGTGTTTCCAAACTACTCTATGAAAAGAAAGCTTAAACTCCTTGAGTTGAACGCACACATCACAAAGTAGTTTCTGAGAATGATTCTGTCTAGTTTTTATACGAAGATGTTTCCTTTTCTACATTTGGTCTCAAAGCGATTGAAATCTCCAACTGGAAACTGCACAAATAGGGTGTTTCAAATCTGCTCTGTCTAAAGGAAGGTTCAACTCTGTGAGTTGAATACACACACCACAAATAAGTTACTGAGAATTCTTCTGTCGAACATTACAGGAAGAAATCCCGTTTCCAACTAAGGCCTCAAAGAGGTCCAAATATCCACTTGCAGACATTACAAACAGAGTGTTTCCAAACTGCTCCATCAAAAGAAAGGTTAAACTCTGTGAGCTGAACACACACATCAAAAAGAAGTTTCTGTGAATGATTCTGTCTAGATTTTATAAGAAGATGTTTCCTTTTCTACCGTAGGCCTCAAAGCGCTTGAAATCTCCAGCTGCAAATTCCACAAAAAGGGTGTTTAACATCTGCTCTTCTAAAGGAAAGTTCAACTCTATGAGTTGAATACACACAGCACAAAGAAGTTACTGAGACTTCTCCTATCAAACATTATATGAAGAAATCCCGTTTCCAACGAAGGCCTCAAAGAGGTCCAAATATCTGCTTGCAGACTTTACAGACAGAGTTTTTCCAAACTGCTCCATCAAAAGAAAGGTTAAACTCCTTGAGTTGAACACACACATCACAAAATAGTTTCTGTGAATGATTCTGTCTAGTTGTTATACGAAGATGTTTCCTTTTCTACCTTTGGTCTCAAAGCGATTGAAATCTCCACATGGAAACTCCACAAAAAGAGTGTTTCAAATCTGCTCTTTCTGAAGGAAGGTTCATCTCTGTGAGTTGAATACACACACCACAAATAAGTTACTGAGAATTCTTCTGTGTAACATTATATGAGGAAATCCCGTTTCCAACGAAGGCCTCAAAGAGGTCCAAATATCCACTTGCAGACTTTACAAAGACAGTGTCTCCAAACTCCTCCATCAAAAGAAAGGTTATACTCTGTGAATTGAACGCACACATCACAAAGTAGTTTCTGAGAATGATTCTGTCTAGTTTTTATACGAAGATATTTCCTTTTCTACATTTGGCCTAAAAGCGCTTGAAATCTCCACCTGCAAATATCACAAAAAGAGGGTTTCACATCTGCTCTGTCTAAAGGACAGTTCACCTCTGTGAGTTGAATAGAGGCAACACAAAGAACTTACTCAGTATTCTTCTTTCTAGCGTTCTATGAAGAAATCCCGTTTCCAACGAAGGCCCCAAAGAGGTCCAAATATCTGCTTGCAGACTTTACAGACAGAGTGTTTCCAAACTACTCT
Organism: Homo sapiens; assembly: GCF_000001405.40. Taxonomy (NCBI): domain Eukaryota; kingdom Metazoa; phylum Chordata; class Mammalia; order Primates; family Hominidae; genus Homo; species Homo sapiens. The sequence goes on along the minus strand of NC_000012.12, from coordinate 37,136,398 downwards.
ATGAAAAGAAAGCTTAAACTCCTTGAGTTGAACGCACACATCACAAAGTAGTTTCTGAGAATGATTCTGTCTAGTTTTTATACGAAGATGTTTCCTTTTCTACATTTGGTCTCAAAGCGATTGAAATCTCCAACTGGAAACTGCACAAATAGGGTGTTTCAAATCTGCTCTGTCTAAAGGAAGGTTCAACTCTGTGAGTTGAATACACACACCACAAATAAGTTACTGAGAATTCTTCTGTCGAACATTACTTGAAGAAATCCCGTTTCCAACGAAGGCCTCAAAGAGGTCCAAATATCCACTTGCAGACATTACAAACAGATTGTTTCCAACCTGCTCCATCAAAAGAAAGGTTAAACTCTGTGAGCTGAACACACACATCAAAAAGAAGTTTCTGTGAATGATTCTGTCTAGATTTTCTAAGAAGATGTTTCCTTTTCTACCGTAGGCCTCAAAGCGCTTGAAATCTCCAGCTGCAAATTCCACAAAAAGGGTGTTTAACATCTGCTCTTCTAAAGGAAAGTTCAACTCTATGAGTTGAATACACACAGCACAAAGAAGTTACTGAGACTTCTCCTATCAAACATTATATGAAGAAATCCCGTTTCCAACGAAGGCCTCAAAGAGGTCCAAATATCTGCTTGCAGACTTTACAGACAGAGTGTTTCCAAACTGCTCCATCAAAAGAAAGGTTAAACTCCTTGAGTTGAACACACACATCACAAAGTAGTTTCTGTGAATGATTTCTGTCTAGTTTTTATACGAAGATGTTTCCTTTTCTACCTTTGGTCTCAAAGCGATTGAAATCTCCACATGGAAACTCCACAAAAAGAGTGTTTCAAATCTGCTCTTTCTGAAGGAAGGTTCAACTCTGTGAGTTGAATACACACACCACAAATAAGTTACTGAGAATTCTTCTGTGTAACATTATATGAGGAAATCCCGTTTCCAACGAAGGCCTCAAAGAGGTCCAAATATCCACTTGCAGACTTTACAAAGACAGTGTCTCCAAACTCCTACATCAAAAGAAAGGTTATACTCTGTGAATTGAACGCACACATCACAAAGTAGTTTCTGAGAATGATTCTGTCTAGTTTTTATACGAAGATATTTCCTTTTCTACATTTGGCCTAAAAGCGCTTGAAATCTCCACCTGCAAATATCACAAAAAGAGGGTTTCACATCTGCTCTGTCTAAAGGACAGTTCACCTCTGTGAGTTGAATAGAGGCAACACAAAGAACTTACTCAGTATTCTTCTTTCTAGCGTTCTATGAAGAAATCCCGTTTCCAACGACGACCCCAATGAGGTCCAAATATCTGCTTGCAGACTTTACAGACAGAGTGTTTCCAAACTACTCTATGAAAAGAAAGCTTAAACTCCTTGAGTTGAACGCACACATCACAAAGTAGTTTCTGAGAATGATTCTGTCTAGTTTTTATACGAAGATGTTTCCTTTTCTACATTTGGTCTCAAAGCGATTGAAATCTCCAACTGGAAAGTGCACAAATAGGGTGTTTCAAATCTGCTCTGTCTAAAGGAAGGTTCAACTCTGTGAGTTGAATACACACACCACAAATAAGTTACTGAGAATTCTTCTGTCGAACATTACTTGAAGAAATCCCGTTTCCAACGAAGGCCTCAAAGAGGTCCAAATATCCACTTGCAGACATTACAAACAGAGTGTTTCCTAACTGCTCCATCAAAAGAAAGGTTAAACTCTGTGAGCTGAACACACACATCGAAAAGAAGTTTCTGTGAATGATTCTGTCTAGATTTTATAAGAAGATGTTTCCTTTTCTACCGTAGGCCTCAAAGCGCTTGTAATCTCCAGCTGCAAATTCCACAAAAAGGGTGTTTAACATCTGCTCTTCTAAAGGAAAGTTCAACTCTATGCGTTGAATACACACATCACAAAGAAGTTACTGAGACTTCTCCTATCAAACATTATATGAAGAAATCCCGTTTCCAACGAAGGCCTCAAAGAGGTCCAAATATCTGCTTGCAGACTTTACAGACAGAGTGTTTCCAAACTGCTCCATCAAAAGAAAGGTTAAACTCCTTGAGTTGAACACACACATCACAAAGTAGTTTCTGTGAATGATTCTGTCTAGTTTTTATACGAAGATGTTTCCTTTTCTACCTTTGGTCTCAAAGCGATTGAAATCTCCACATGGAAACTCCACAAAAAGAGTGTTTCAAATCTGCTCTTTCTGAAGGAAGGTTCAACTCTGTGAGTTGAATACACACACCACAAATGAGTTACTGAGAATTCTTCTGTGTAACATTATATGAGGAAATCCCGTTTCCAACGAAGGCCTCAAAGAGGTCCAAATATCCACTTGCAGACTTTACAAAGACAGTGTCTCCAAACTCCTCCATCAAAAGAAAGGTTATACTGCTGTGAATTGAACGCACACATCACAAAGTAGTTTGCTGAGAATGATTCTGTCTAGTTTTTATACGAAGATATTTCCTTTTCTACATTTGGCCTAAAAGCGCTTGAAATCTCCACCTGCAAATATCACAAAAAGAGGGTTTCACATCTGCTCTGTCTAAAGGACAGTTCACCTGTGTGAGTTGAATAGAGGCAACACAAAGAACTTACTCAGTATTCTTCTTTCTAGCGTTCTATGAAGAAATCCCGTTTCCAACGAAGGCCTCAAAGAGGTCCAAATATCTGCTTGCAGACTTTACAGACAGAGTGTTTCCAAACTACTCTATTAAAAGAAAGCTTAAAATCCTTAAGTTGAACGCACACATCACAAAGTAGTTTCTGAGAATGATTCTGTCTTGTTTTTATACAAAGTTATTTCCGTTTCTATGATTGGCCTCAAAGCGATTGAAATCTCCAACTGGAAACTGCACAAATAGGGTGTTTCAAATCCGCTCTGTCTAAACGAAGGTTCAACTCTGTGAGTTGAATACACACACCACAAATAAGTTACTGAGAATTCTTCTGTCGAACATTACTTGAAGAAATCCCGTTTCCAAAGAAGGCCTCAAAGAGGTCCAAATATCCACTTGCAGACATTACAAACAGAGTGTTTCCAAACTGCTCCATCAAAAGAAAGGTTAAACTCTGTGAGCTGAACACACACATCAAAAAGAAGTTTCTGTGAATGATTCTGTCTAGATTTTATAAGAAGATGTTTCCTTTTCTACCGTAGGCCTCAAAGCGCTTGAAATCTCCAGCTGCAAATTCCACAAAAAGGGTGTTTAACATCTGCTCTTCTAAAGGAAAGTTCAACTCTATGAGTTGAATACACACAGCACAAAGAAGTTACTGAGACTTCTCCTATCAAACATTATATGAAGAAATCCCGTTTCCAACGAAGGCCTCAAAGAGGTCCAAATATCTGCTTGCAGACTTTACAGACAGAGTGTTTCCAAACTGCTCCATCAAAAGAAAGGTTAAACTCCTTGAGTTGAACACACACATCACAAAGTAGTTTCTGTGAATGATTCTGTCTAGTTTTTATATGAAGATGTTTCCTTTTCTACCATTGGTCTGAAAGCGATTGAAATCTCCACATGGAAACTCCACAAAAAGAGTGTTTCAAATCTGCTCTTTCTGAAGGAAGGTTCAACTCTTTGAGATGAATACACACAGCACAAGTAAGTTACTGAGAATTCATCTGTGTAACATTATGTGAGGAAAACCCGTTTCCAACGAAGGCTTCAAAGAGGTCCAAATATCCACTTGCAGACTTTACAAAGACAGTGTCTCCAAACTCCTCCATCAAAACAAAGGTTATACCCTGTGAATTGAACGCTCACGTCACAAAGTAGTTTCTGAGAATGATTCTGTCTAGTTTTTATACGAAGATATTTCCTTTTCTACATTTGGCCTAAAAGCGCTTGAAATCTCCACCTGCAAATATCACAAAAAGAGGTTTTCACATCTGCTCTGTCTAAAGGACAGTTCACCTCTGTGAGTTGAATAGAGGCAACACAAAGAACTTACTCAGTATTCTTCTTTCTAGCGTTCTATGAAGAAATCCCGTTTCCAACGACGACCCCAATGAGGTCCAAATATCTGCTTGCAGACTTTACAGACAGAGTGTTTCCAAACTACTCTATGAAAAGAAAGCTTAAACTCCTTGAGTTGAACGCACACATCACAAAGTAGTTTCTGAGAATGATGCTGTCTAGTTTTTGTACGAAGATGTTTCCTTTTCTACATTTGGTCTCAAAGCGATTGAAATCTCCAACTGGAAACTGCACAAATAGGGTGTTTCAAATCTGCTCTGTCTAAAGGAAGGTTCAACTCTGTGAGTTGAATACACACACCATAAATAAGTTACTGAGAATTCTTCTGTCGAACATTACATGAAGAAATCCCGTTTCCAACGAAGGCCTCAAAGAGGTCCAAATATCCACTTGCAGACATTACAAACAGTGTGTTTCCCAACTGCTCCATCAAAAGAAAGGTTAAACTCTGTGAGCTGAACACACACATCAAAAAGAAGTTTCTGTGAATGATTCTGTCTAGATTTTATAAGAAGATGTTTCCTTTTCTACCGTAGGCCTCAAAGCGCTTGAAATCTCCAGCTGCAAATTCCACAAAAAGGGTGTTTAAGATCTGCTCTTCTAAAGGAAAGTTCAACTCTATGAGTTGAATACACACAGCACAAAGAAGTTACTGAGACTTCTCCTATCAAACATTAGATGAAGAAATCCCGTTTCCAACGAAGGCCTCAAAGAGGTCCAAATATCTGCTTGCAGACTTTACAGACAGAGTGTTTGCAAACTGCTCCATCAAAAGAAAGGTTAACCTCCTTGAGTTGAACACACACATCACAAAGTAGTTTCTGTGAATGATTCTGTCTAGTTTTTATACGAAGATGTTTCCTTTTCTACCTTTGGTCTCAAAGCGATTGAAATCTCCACATGGAAACTCCACAAAAAGAGTGTTTCAAATCTGCTCTTTGTGAAGGATGGTTCAACTCTGTGAGTTGAATACACACACCACAAATAAGTTACTGAGAATTCTTCTGTGTAACATTATATGAGGAAATCCCGTTTCCAACGAAGTCCTCAAAGAGGTCCAAATATCCACTTACAGACTTTACAAAGACAGTGTCTCCAAACTCCTCCATCAAAAGAAAGGTTAAACTCTGTGAGCTGAACACACACATCAAAAAGAAGTTTCTGTGAATGATTCTGTCTAGTTTTTATAAGAAGATATTTCCTTTTCTACATTTGGCCTAAAAGCGCTTGAAATCTCCACCTGCAAATATCACAAAAAGAGGGTTTCACATCTGCTCTGTCTAAAGGACAGTTCACCTCTGTGAGTTGAATAGAGGCAACACAAAGAACTTACTCAGTATTCTTCTTTCTAGCGTTCTATGAAGAAATCCCGTTTCCAACGAAGGCCCCAAAGAGGTCCAAATATCTGCTTGCAGACTTTACAGACAGAGTGTTTCCAAACTACTCTATGAAAAGAAAGCTTAAACTCCTTGAGTTGAACGCACACATCACAAAGTAGTTTCTGAGAATGATTCTGTCTAGTTTTTATACGAAGATGTTTCCTTTTCTACATTTGGTCTCAAAGCGATTGAAATCTCCAACTGGAAACTGCACAAATAGGGTGTTTCAAATCTGCTCTGTCTAAAGGAAGGTTCAACTCTGTGAGTTGAATACACACACCACAAATAAGTTACTGAGAATTCTTCTGTCGAACATTACTTGAAGAAATCCCGTTTCCAACGAAGGCCTCAAAGAGGTCCAAATATCCACTTGCAGACATTACAAACAGAGTGTTTCCAAACTGCTCCATCAAAAGAAAGGTTAAACTCTGTGAGCTGAACACACACATCAAAAAGAAGTTTCTGTGAATGATTCTGTCTAGATTTTATAAGAAGATGTTTCCTTTTCTACCGTAGGCCTCAAAGCGCTTGAAATCTCCAGCTGCAAATTCCACAAAAAGGGTGTTTAACATCAGCTCTTCTAAAGGAAAGTTCAACTCTATGAGTTGAATACACACAGCACAAAGAAGTTACTGAGACTTCTCCTATCAAACATTATATGAAGAAATCCCGTTTCCAACGAAGGCCTCAAAGGGGTCCAAATATCTGCTTGCAGACTTTACAGACAGAGTGTTTCCAAACTGCTCCATCAAAAGGAAGTTTAAACTCCTTGAGTTGAACACACACATCACAAAGTAGTTTCTGTGAATGATTCTGTCTAGTTTTTATACGAAGATGTTTCCTTTTCTACCTTTGGTCTCAAAGCCATTGAAATCTCCACATGGAAACTCCACAAAAAGAGTGTCTCAAATCTGCTCTTTCTGAAGGAAGGTTCAACTCTGTGAGTTGAGTACACACAGCACAAATAAGTTACTGAGAATTCTTCTGTGTAACATTATATGAGGAAATCCCGTTTCCAACGAAGGCCTCAAAGAGGTCCAAATATCCACTTGCAGACTTTACAAAGACAGTGTCTCCAAACTCCTCCATCAAAAGAAAGGTTATACTCTGTGAATTGAACGCACACATCACAAAGTAGTTTCTGAGAATGATTCTGTCTAGTTTTTATACGAAGATATTTCCTTTTCTACATTTGGCCTAAAAGCGCTTGAAATCTCCACGTGCAAATATCACAAAAAGAGGGTTTCACATCTGCTCTGTCTAAAGGACAGTTCACCTCTGTGAGTTGAATAGAGGCAACACAAAGAACTTACTCAGTATTCTTCTTTCTAGCGTTCTATGAAGAAATCCCGTTTCCAACGAAGGCCCCAAAGAGGTCCAAATATCTGCTTGCAGACTTTACAGACAGAGTGTTTCCAAACTACTCTATGAAAAGAAAGCTTAAACTCCTTGAGTTGAACGCACACATCACAAAGTAGTTTCTGAGAATGATTCTGTCTAGTTTTTATACGAAGATGTTTCCTTTTCTACATTTGGTCTCAAAGCGATTGAAATCTCCAACTGGAAACTGCACAAATAGGGTGTTTCAAATCTGCTCTGTCTAAAGGAAGGTTCAACTCTGTGAGTTGAATACACACACCACAAATAAGTTACTGAGAATTCTTCTGTCGAACATTACTTGAAGAAATCCCGTTTCCAACAAAGACCTCAAAGAGGTCCAAATATCCACTTGCAGACATTACAAACAGAGTGTTTCCAAACTTCTCCATCAAAGGAAAGGTTAAACTCTGTGAGCTGAACACACACATCAAAAAGAAGTTTCTGTGAATGATTCTGTCTAGATTTTAGAAGAAGATGTTTCCTTTTCTACCGTAGGCCTCAAAGCGCTTGAAATCTCCAGCTGCAAATTCCACAAAAAGGGTGTTTAACATCTGCTCTTCTAAAGGAAAGTTCAACTCTATGAGTTGAATACACACAGCACAAAGAAGTTACTGAGACTTCTCCTATCAAACATTATATGAAGAAATCCCGTTTCCAACGAAGGCCTCAAAGAGGTCCAAATATCTGCTTGCAGACTTTACAGACAGAGTTTTTCCAAACTGCTCCATCAAAAGAAAGGTTAAACTCCTTGAGTTGAACACACACATCACAAAGTAGTTTCTGTGAATGATTCTGTCTAGTTTTTATACGAAGATGTTTCCTTTTCTACCTTTGGTCTCAATGCGATTGAAATCTCCACATGGAAACTCCACAAAAAGAGTGTTTCAAATCTGCTCTTTCTGAAGGAAGGTTCAACTCTGTGAGTTGAATACACACACCACTAATAAGTTACTGAGAATTCTTCTGTGTAACATTATATGAGGAAATCCCGTTTCCAACGAAGGCCTCAAAGAGGTCCAAATATCCACTTGCAGACTTACAAAGACAGTGTCTCCAAACTCCACCATCAAAAGAAAGGTTATACTCTGTGAATTGAACGCACACATCACAAAGTAGTTTCTGAGAATGATTCTGTCTAGTTTTTATACGAAGATATTTCCTTTTCTACATTTGGACTAAAAGCGCTTGAAATCTCCACCTGCAAATATCACAAAAAGAGGGTTTCACATCTGCTCTGTCTAAAGGACAGTTCACCTCTGTGAGTTGAATAGAGGCAACACAAAGAACTTACTCAGTATTCTTCTTTCTAGCGTTCTATGAAGAAATCCCGTTTCCAACGAAGGCCCCAAAGAGGTCCAAATATCTGCTTGCAGACTTTACAGACAGAGTGTTTCCAAACTACTCTATGAAAAGAAAGCTTAAACTCCTTGAGTTGAACGCACACATCACAAAGTAGTTTCTGAGAATGATTCTGTCTAGTTTTTATACGAAGATGTTTCCTTTTCTACATTTGGTCTCAAAGCGATTGAAATCTCCAACTGGAAACTGCACAAATAGGCTGTTTCAAATCTGCTCTGTCTAAAGGAAGGTTCAACTCTGTGAGTTGAATACACACACCACAAATAAGTTACTGAGAATTCTTCTGTCGAACATTACAGGAAGAAATCCCGTTTCCAATGAAGGCCTCAAAGAGGTCCAAATATCCACTTGCGGACATTACAAACAGTGTGTTTCCCAACTGCTCCATCAAAAGAAAGGTTAAACTCTGTGAGCTGAACACACACATCAAAAAGAAGTTTCTGTGAATGATTCTGTATAGACTGTAGAAGAAGATGTTTCCTTTTCTACGGTAGGCCTCAAAGCGCTTGAAATCTCCAGCTGCAAATTCCACAAAAAGGGTGTTTAACATCTGCTCTTCTAAAGGAAAGTTCAACTCCATGCGTTGAATACACACAGCACAAAGAAGTTACTGAGACTTCTCCTATCAAACATTATATGAAGAAATCCCGTTTCCAACGAAGGCCTCAAAGAGGTCCAAATATCTGCTTGCAGACTTTACAGACAGAGTGTTTCCAAACTGCTCCATCAAAAGAAAGGTTAAACTCCTTGAGTTGAACACACACATCACAAAGTAGTTTCTGTGAATGATTCTGTCTAGTTTTTATACGAAGATGTTTCCTTTTCTACCTTTGGTCTCAAAGCGATTGAAATCTCCACATGGAAACTCCACAAAAAGAGTGTTTCAAATCTGCTCTTTCTGAAGGAAGGTTCAACTCTGTGAGTTGAATACACACACCACAAATAAGTTACTGAGAATTCTTCTGTGTAACATTATATGAGGAAATCCCGTTTCCAACGAAGGCCTCAAAGAGGTCCAAATATCCACTTGCAGACTTTACAAAGACAGTGTCTCCAAACTCCTCCATCAAAAGAAAGGTTATACTCTGTGAATTGAACGCACACATCACAAAGTAGTTTCTGAGAATGATTCTGTCTAGTTTTTATACGAAGATATTTCCTTTTCTACATTTGGCCTAAAAGCGCTTGAAATCTCCACCTGCAAATATCACAAAAAGAAGGTTTCACATCTGCTCTGTCTAAAGGACAGTTCACCTCTGTGAGTTGAATAGAGGCAACACAAAGAACTTACTCAGTATTCTTCTTTCTAGCGTTCTATGAAGAAATCCCGTTTCCAACGAAGGCCCCAAAGAGGTCCAAATATCTGCTTGCAGACTTTACAGACAGAGTGTTTCCAAACTACTCTATGAAAAGAAAGCTTAAACTCCTTGAGTTGAACGCACACATCACAAAGTAGTTTCGGAGAATGATTCTGTCTAGTTTTTATACGAAGATGGTTCCTATTCTACCTTTGGTCTCAAAGCGATTGAAATCTCCACATGGAAACTTCACAAAAAGAGTGTTTCAAATCTACTCTTTCTGAAGGAAGGTTCAACTCTGTGAGTTGAATACACACACCACAAATAAGTTACTGAGAATTCTTCTGTCGAACATTACATGAAGAAATCCCGTTTCCAACGAAGGCCTCAAAGAGGTCCAAATATCCACTTGCAGACATTACAAACAGAGTGTTTCCAAACTGCTCCATCAAAAGAAAGGTTAAACTCTGTGAGCTGAACACACACATCAAAAAGAAGCTTCTGTGAATGATTCTGTCTAGATTTTATAAGAAGACGTTTCCTTTTCTACCGTAGGCCTCAAAGCGCTTGAAATCTCCAGCTGCAAATTCCACAAAAAGGGTGTTTAACATCTGCTCTTCTAAAGGAAAGTTCAAATCTATGAGTTGAATACACACAGCACAAAGAAGTTACTGAGACTTCTCCTATCAAACATTATATGAAGAAATCCCGTTTCCAACGAAGGCCTCAAAGAGGTCCAAATATCTGTTTGCAGACTTTACAGACAGTGTGTTTCCAAACTGCTCCATCAAAAGAAAGGTTAAACTCCTTGAGTTGAACACACACATCACAAAGTAGTTTCTGTGAATGATTCTGTCTAGTTTTTATACGAAGATGTTTCCTTTTCTACCTTTGGTCTCAAAGCGATTGAAATCTCCACATGGAAACTCCACAAAAAAGAGTGTTTCAAATCTGCTCTTTCTGAAGGAAGGTTCAACTCTGTGAGTTGAATACACACACCACAAATAAGTTACTGACAATTCTTCTGTGTAACATTATATGAGGAAATCCCGTTTCCAAAGAAGGCCTCAAAGAGGTCCAAATATCCACTTGCAGACTTTACAAAGACAGTGTCTCCAAACTCGTCCATCAAAAGAAAGGTTATACTCTGTGAATTGAACGCACACATCACAAAGTAGTTTCTGAGAATGATTCTGTCTAGTTTTTATACGAAGATATTTCCTTTTCTACATTTGGCCTAAAAGCGCTTGAAATCTCCACCTGCAAATATCACAAAAACAGGATTTCACATCTGCTCTGTCTAAAGGACAGTTCACCTCTGTGAGTTGAATAGAGGCAGCACAAAGAAGTTACTGAGTATTCTTCTTTCTAGCGTTCTATGAAGAAATCCCGTTTCCAACGAAGGCCCCAAAGAGGTCCAAATATCTGCTTGCAGACTTTACAGACAGAGTGTTTCCAAACTACTCTATGAAAAGAAAGCTTAAACTCCTTGAGTTGAACGCACACATCACAAAGTAGTTTCTGAGAATGATTCTGTCTAGTTTTTATACGAAGATGTTTCCTTTTCTACATTTGGTCTCAAAGCGATTGAAATCTCCAACTGGAAACTGCACAAATAGGGTGTTTCAAATCTGCTCTGTCTAAAGGAAGGTTCAACTCTGTGAGTTGAATACACACACCACAAATAAGTTACTGAGAATTCTTCTGTCGAACATTACTTGAAGAAATCCCGTTTCCAACGAAGGCCTCAAAGAGGTGCAAATATCCACTTGCAGACATTACAAACAGAGTGTTTCCAAACTGCTCCATCAAAAGAAAGGTTAAACTCTGTGAGCTGAACACACACATCAAAAAGAAGTTTCTGTGAATGATTCTGTCTAGATTTTATAAGAAGATGTTTCCTTTTCTACCGTAGGCCTCAAAGCGCTTGAAATCTCCAGCTGCAAATTCCACAAAAAGGGTGTTTAACATCTGTTCTTCTAAAGGAAAGTTCAACTCTATGAGTTGAATACACACAGCACAAAGAAGTTACTGAGACTTCTCCTATCAAACATTATATGAAGATATCCCGTTTTCAACGAAGGCCTCAAAGAGGTCCAAATATCTGCTTGCAAACTTTACAGACAGAGTTTTTCCAAACTGCTCCATCAAAAGAAAGGTTAAACTCCTTGAGTTGAACACACACATCACAAAGTAGTTTCTGTGAATGATTCTGTCTAGTTTTTATATGAAGATGTTTCCTTTTCTACCTTTGGTCTCAAAGCGATTGAAATCTCCACATGGAAACTCCACAAAAGGAGTGTTTCAAATCTGCTCTTTCTGAAGGAAGGTTCAACTCTGTGAGTTGAATACACACACCACAAATAAGTTACTGAGAATTCTTCTGTGTAACATTATATGAGGAAATCCCGTTTCCAACGATGGCCTCAAAGAGGTCCAAATATCCACTTGCAGACTTTACAAAGACATTGTCTCCAAACTCCTCCATCAAAAGAAAGGTTATACTCTGTGAATTGAACGCACACATCACAAAGTAGTTTCTGAGAATTATTCTGTCTAGTTTTTATACGAAGATGTTTCCTTTTCTACATTTGGCCTAAAAGTGCCTGAAATCTCCACCTGCAAATATCACAAAAAGAGGGTTTCACATCTGCTCTGTCTAAAGGACAGTTCACCTCTGTGAGTTGAATAGAGGCAACACAAAGAACTTACTCAGTATTCATCTTTCTGGCGTTCTATGAAGAAATCCCGTTTCCAACGAAGGCCCCAATGAGGTCCAAATATCTGCTTGCAGACTTTACAGACAGAGTGTTTCCAAACTACTCTATGAAAAGAAAGCTTAAACTCCTTGAGTTGAACGCACACATCACAAAGTAGTTTCTGAGAATGATTCTGTCTAGTTTTTATACGAAGATGTTTCCTTTTCTACATTTGGTCTCAAAGCGATTGAAATCTCCAACTGGAAACTGCACAAATAGGGTGTTTCAAATCTGCTCTGTCTAAAGGAAGGTTCAACTCTGTGAGTTGAATACACACACCATAAATAAGTTACTGAGAATTCTTCTGTCGAACATTACTTGAAGAAATCCCGTTTCCAACGAAGGCCTCAAAGAGGTCCAAATATCCACTTGCAGACATTACAAACAGAGTGTTTCCAAACTGCTCCATCAAAAGAAAGGTTAAACTCTGTGAGCTGAACACACACATCGAAAAGAAGTTTCTGTGAATGATTCTGTCTAGATTTTATAAGAAGATGTTTCCTTTTCTACCATAGGCCTCAAAGCGCTAGAAATCTCCAGCTGCAAATTCCACAAAAAGTGTGTTTAACATCTGCTCTGTCTAAAGTAAAGTTCAGCTCTGTGAGTTGAATACACAAAGTACAAAGAAGTTACTGAGACTTCTTCTGTCTAACATTATATGAAGAAATCCCGTTTCCAGGAAGGCCTCAAAGAGGTCCAAATATCCCCTTGCAGACTTGTCAGAGTGTTTCCAAACTGCACCATCAAAAGAAAGGTTAAACTCTGTGAGCTGAACACACACATCACAAAGTAGTTTCTGTGAATGATTCTGTCTAGTTTTTATACGAAGATGTTTCCTTTTCTACCTTTGGTCTCAATGCGATTGAAATCTCCACATGGAAACTCCACAAAAAGAGTGTTTCAAATCTGCTCTTTCTGAAGGAAGGTTCAACTCTGTGAGTTGAATACACACACCACAAATAAGTTACTGAGAATTCTTCTGTGTAACATTATATGAGGAAATCCCGTTTCCAACGAAGGCCTGCAAGAGGTCCAAATATCCACTTGCAGACTTTACAAAGACAGTGTCTCCAAACTCCTCCATCAAAAGAAAGGTTATACTCTGTGAATTGAACGCACACATCACAAAGTAGTTTCTGAGAATGATTCTGTCTAGTTTTTATACGAAGATATTTCCTTTTCTACATTTGGCCTAAAAGCGCTTGAAATCTCCACCTGCAAATATCACAAAAAGAGGGTTTCACATCTGCTCTGTCTAAAGGACAGTTCACCTCTGTGAGTTGAATAGAGGCAACACAAAGAATTTACTCAGTATTCTTCTTTCTAGCATTATATGAAGAAATCCCGTTTCCAATGAAGGCCTCAAAGAGGTCCAAATATCTGCTTGAAGACTTTACAGACAGAGTGTTTCCAAACTGCTCCATCAAAACAAAGGTTAACCTCCTTGAGTTGAACACACACATCACAAAGTAGTTTCTGTGAATGATTCTGTCCAGTTTTTATACGAAGATGTTTCCTTTTCTACCTTTGGTCTCAAAGCGATTGAAATCTCCACATGGAAACTCCACAAAAAGAGTGTTTCAAATCTGCTCTTTCTGAAGGAAGGTTCAACTCTGTGAGTTGAATACACACACCACAAATAAGTTACTGAGAATTCTTCTGTGTAACATTATATGAGGAAATCCCGTTTCCAACGAAGGCCTCAAAGAGGTCCAAATATCCACTTGCAGACTTTACAAAGACAGTGTCTCCAAACTCCTCCATCAAAAGAAAGGTTATACTCTGTGAATTGAACGCACACATCACAAAGTAGTTTCTGAGAATGATTCTGTCTAGTTTTTATACGAAGATATTTCCTTTTCTACATTTGGCCTAAAAGTGCTTGAAATCTCCACCTGCAAATATCACAAAAAGAGGGTTTCACATCTGCTCTGTCTAAAGGACAGTTCACCTCTGTGAGTTGAATAGAGGCAACACAAAGAACTTACTCAGTATTCTTCTTTCTAGCGTTATATGAAGAAATCCCGTTTCCAACGAAGGCCTCAAAGAGGTCCAAATATCTGCTTGCAGACTTTACAGACAGAGTGTTTCCAAACTACTCTATGAAAAGAAAGCTTAAACTCCTTGAGTTGAACGCACACATCACAAAGTAGTTTCTGAGAATGATGCTGTCTAGTTTTTATACGAAGATGTTTCCTTTTCTACATTTGGTCTCAAAGCGATTGAAATCTCCAACTGGAAACTGCACAAATAGGGTGTTTCAAATCTGCTCTGTCTAAAGGAAGGTTCAACTCTGTGAGTTGAATACACACACCACAAATAAGTTACTGAGTATTCTTCTGTCGAACATTACATGAAGAAATCCCGTTTCCAACGAAGACCTCAAAGAGGTCCAAATATCCACTTGCAGACATTACAAACAGTGTGTTTCCAAACTGCTCCAACAAAAGAAAGGTTAAACACTGTGAGCTGAACACACACATCAAAAAGAAGTTTCTGTGAATGATTCTGTCTAGATTTTATAAGAAGATGTTTCCTTTTCTACCGTAGGCCTCAAAGCGCTTGAAATCTCCAGCTGCAAATTCCACAAAAAGGGTGTTTAACATCTGCTCTTCTAAAGGAAAGTTCAACTCTATGAGTTGAATACACACAGCACAAAGAAGTTACTGAGACTTCTCCTATCAAACATTATATGAAGAAATCCCGTTTCCAACGAAGGCCTCAAAGAGGTCCAAATATCTGCTTGCAGACTTTACAGACAGAGTGTTTCCAAACTGCTCCATCAAAAGAAAGGTTAAACTCCTTGAGTTGAACACACACATCACAAAGTAGTTTCTGTGAATGATTCTGTCTAGTTTTCATACGAAGATGTTTCCTTTTCTACGTTTGGTCTCAAAGCCATTGAAATCTCCACATGGAAACTCCACAAAAAGAGGGTTTCAAATCTGTTCTTTCTGAAGGAAGGTTCAACTCTGTGAGTTGAATACACACACCACAAATAAGTTACTGAGAATTCTTCTGTGTAACATTATATGAGGAAATCCCGTTTCCAACGAAGGCCTCAAAGAGGTCCAAATATCCACTTGCAGACTTTACAAAGACAGTGTCTCCAAACTCCTCCATCAAAAGAAAGGTTATACTCTGTGAATTGAACGCACACATCACAAAGTAGTTTCTGAGAATGATTCTGTCTAGTTTTTATACGAAGATATTTCCTTTTCTACATTTGGCCTAAAAGCGCTTGAAATCTCCACCTGCAAATATCACAAAAAGAGGTTTTCACATCTGCTCTGTCTAAAGGACAGTTCACCTCTGTGAGTTGAATAGAGGCAACACAAAGAACTTAGTCAGTATTCTTCTTTCTAGCGTTCTATGAAGAAATCCCGTTTCCAACGAAGGCCTCAAAGAGGTCCAAATATCTGCTTGCAGACTTTACAGACAGAGTGTTTCCAAACTACTCTATGAAAAGAAAGCTTAAACTCCTTGAGTTGAACGCACACATCACAAAGTAGTTTCTGAGAATGATTCTGTCTAGTTTTTATACGAAGATGTTTCCTTTTCTACATTTGGTCTCAAAGCTCTTGAAATCTCCAACTGGAAACTGCACAAATAGGCTGTTTTAAATCTGCTCTGTCTAAAGGAAGGTTCAACTCTGTGAGTTGAATACACACACCACAAATAAGTTACTGAGAATCCTTCTGTCGAACATTACTTGAAGAAATCCCGTTTCCAACGAAGGCCTCAAAGAGGTCCAAATATCCACTTGCGGACATTACAAACAGTGTGTTTCCCAACTGCTCCATCAAAAGAAAGGTTAAACTCTGTGAGCTGAACACACACATCAAAAAGAAGTTTCTGTGAATGATTCTGTCTAGATTTTATAAGAAGATGTTTCCTTTTCTACCGTAGGCCTCAAAGCGCTTGAAATCTCCAGCTGCAAATTCCACAAAAAGGCTGTTTAACATCTGCTCTTCTAAAGGAAAGTTCAACTCTATGAGTTGAATACACACAGCATAAAGAAGTTACTGAGACTTCTCCTATCAAACATTATATGAAGAAATCCCGTTTCCAACGAAGGCCTCAAAGAGGTCCAAATATCTGCTTGCAGACTTTACAGACAGAGTGTTTCCAAACTGCTCCATCAAAAGAAAGGTTAAACTCCTTGAGTTGAACACACACATCACAAAGTAGTTTCTGTGAATGATTCTGTCTAGTTTTTATACGAAGATGTTTCCTTTTCTACCTTTGGTCTCAAAGCGATTGAAATCTCCACATGGAAACTCCACAAAAAGAGGGTTTCAAATCTGCTCTTCCTGAAGGAAGGTTCACCTCTGTGAGTTGAATAAACACACCACAAATAAGTTACTGAGAATTCTTCTGTGTAACATTATATGAGGAAATCCCGTTTCCAACGAAGGCCTCAAAGAGGTCCAAATATCCACTTGCAGACTTTACAAAGACAGTGTCTCCAAACTCCTCCATCAAAAGAAAGGTTATACTCTGTGAATTGAACGCACACATCACAAAGTAGTTTCTGAGAATGATTCTGTCTAGTTTTTATACGAAGATATTTCCTTTTCTACATTTGGCCTAAAAGCGCTTGAAATCTCCACCTGCAAATATCACAAAAAGAGGGTTTCACATCTGCTCTGTCTAAAGGACAGTTCACCTCTGTGAGTTGAATAGAGGCAACACAAAGAACTTACTCAGTATTCTTCTTTCTAGCGTTCTATGAAGAAATCCGGTTTCCAACGAAGGCCCCAAAGAGGTCCAAATATCTGCTTGCACACTTTACAGACAGAGTGTTTCCAAACTACTCTATGAAAAGAAAGCTTAAACTCCTTGAGTTGAACGCACACATCACAAAGTAGTTTCTGAGAATGATTCTGTCTAGTTTTTATACGAAGATGTTTCCTTTTCTACCTTTGGTCTCAAAGCGATTGAAATCTCCAACTGGGAATTGCACAAATAGGGTGTTTCAAATCTGCTCTGTCTAAAGGAAGGTTCAACTCTGTGAGTTGAATACACACACCACAAATAAGTTACTGAGAATTCTTCTGTCGAACATTACTTGAAGAAATCCCGTTTCCAACGAAGGCCTCAAAGAGGTCCAAATATCCACTTGCAGACATTACAAACAGAGTGTTTCCAAACTGCTCCATCAAAAGAAAGGTTAAACTCTGTGAGCTGAACACACACATCAAAAAGCAGTTTCTGTGAATGATTCTGTCTAGATTTTATAAGAAGATGTTTCCTTTTCTACCGTAGGCCTCAAAGCGCTTGAAATCTCCAGCTGCAAATTCCACAAAAAGGGTGTTTAACATCTGCTCTTCTAAAGGAAAGTTCAACTCTATGAGTTGAATACACACAGTACAAAGAAGTTACTGAGACTTCTCCTATCAAACATTATATGAAGAAATCCCGTTTCCAACGAAGGCCTCAAAGAGGTCCAAATATCTGCTTGCACACTTTACAGACAGAGTGTTTCCAAACTGCTCCATCAAAAGAAAGGATAAACTCCTTGAGTTGAACACACACATCACAAAGTAGTTTCTGTGAATGATTCTGTCTGGTTTTTATACGAAGATGTTTCCTTTTCTACCTTTGGTCTCAAAGCGATTGAAATCTCCACATGGAAACTCCACAAAAAGAGTGTTTCAAACCTGCTCCTTCTGAAGGAAGGTTCAACTCTGTGAGTTGAATACACACACCACAAATAAGTTACTGAGAATTCTTCTGTGTAACATTATATGAGGAAATCCCGTTTCCAACGAAGGCCTCAAAGAGGTCCAAATATCCACTTGCAGACTTTACAAAGACTGTGTCTCCAAACTCCTCCATCAAAAGAAAGGTTATACTCTGTGAATTGAACGCACACATCACAAAGTAGTTTCTGAGAATGATTCTGTCTAGTTTTTATACGAAGATATTTCCTTTTCTACATTTGGCCTAAAAGCGCTTGAAATCTCCACCTGCAAATATCACAAAAAGAGGGTTTCACATCTGCTCTGTCTAAAGGACAGTTCACCTCTGTGAGTTGAATAGAGGCAACACAAAGAACTTACTCAGTATTCTTCTTTCTAGCATTCTATGAAGAAATCCCGTTTCCAACGAAGGCCCCAAAGAGGTCCAAATATCTGCTTGCAGACTTTACAGACAGAGTGTTTCCAAACTACTCTATGAAAAGAAAGCTTAAACTCCTTGAGTTGAACGCACACATCACAAAGTAGTTTCTGAGAATGATTCTGTCTAGTTTTTATACGAAGATGTTTCCTTTTCTACATTTGGTCTCAAAGCGATTGAAATCTCCACCTGGAAACTGCACAAATAGGGTGTATCAAATCTGCTCTGTCTAAAGAAGGTTCAACTCTGTGAGTTGAATACACACACCACAAATAAGTTACTGAGAATTCTTCTGTCGAACATTACATGAAGAAATCCCGTTTCCAACGAAGGCCTCAAAGAGGTCCAAATATCCACTTGCAGACATTACAAACAGAGTGTTTCCAAACTGCTCCATCAAAAGAAAGGTTAAACTCTGTGAGCTGAACACACACATCAAAAAGAAGTTTCTGTGAATGATTCTGTCTAGATTTTATAAGAAGATGTTTCCTTTTCTACCGTAGGCCTCAAAGCGCTTGAAATCTCCAGCTGCAAATTCCACAAAAAGGGTGTTTAACATCTGCTCTTCTAAAGGAAAGTTCAACTCTATGAGTTGATTACACATAACACAAAGAAGTTACTGAGACTTCTCCTATCAAACATTATATGAAGAAATCCCGTTTCCAACGAAGGCCTCAAAGAGGTCCAAATATCTGCTTGCAGACTTTACAGACAGAGTGTTTCCAAACTGCTCCATCAAAAGAAAGGTTAAACTCCTTGAGTTGAACACACACATCACAAAGTAGTTTCTGTGAATGATTCTGTCTAGTTTTTATAAGAAGATGTTTCCTTTTCTACCTTTGGTCTCAAAGCGATTGAAATCTCCACATGGAAACTCCACAAAAAGAGTGTTTCAAATCTGCTCTTTCTGAAGGAAGGTTCAACTCTGTGAGTTGAATACACACACCACAAATAAGTTACTGAGAATTCTTCTGTGTAACATTATATGAGGAAATCCCGTTTCCAACGAAGGCCTCAAAGAGGTCCAAATATCCACTTGCAGACTTTACAAAGACAGTGTCTCCAAACTCCTCCATCAAAAGAAAGGTTATACTCTGTGAATTGAACGCACACATCACAAAGTAGTTTCTGAGAATGATTCTGTCTAGTTTTTATACGAAGATATTTCCTTTTCTACATTTGGCCTAAAAGCGCTTGAAATCTCCACCTGCAACTATCACAAAAAGAGGGTTTCACATCTGCTCTGTCTAAAGGACAGTTCACCTCTGTGAGTTGAATAGAGGCAACACAAAGAACTTACTCAGTATTCTTCTTTCCAGCGTTCTATGAAGAAATCCCTTTTCCAACGAAGGCCTCAAATAGGTCCAAATATCTGCTTGCAGACTTTACAGACAGAGTGTTTCCAAACTACTCTATGAAAAGAAAGCTTAAACTCCTTGAGTTGAACCGCACACATCACAAAGTAGTTTCTGAGAATGATTCTGTCTTGTTTTTATACGAAGGTATTTCCGTTTCTACGAATGGCCTCAAAGCCATTGAAATCTCCAACTGGAAACTGCACAAATAGAGTATTTCAAATGTGCTCTGTCTAAAGGAAGGTTCAACTCTGTGAGTTGAATACACACACCACAAATAAGTTACTGAGAATTCTTCTGTCGAACATTACATGAAGAAATCCCGTTTCCAACGAAGGCCTCACAGAGGTCCAAATATCCACTTGCAGACATTACAAACAGAGTGTTTCCAAACTGCTCCATCAAAAGAAAGGTTAAACTCTGTGAGCTGAACACACACATCAAAAAGAAGTTTCTGTGAATGATTCTGTCTAGATTTTATAAGAAGATGTTTCCTTTTCTACCGTAGGCCTCAAAGCGCTTGAAATCTCCAGCTGCAAATTCCACAAAAAGGGTGTTTAACATCTGCTCTTCTAAAGGAAAGTTCAACTCTATGAGTTGAATACACACAGCACAAAGAAGTTACTGAGACTTCTCCTATCAAACATTATATGAAGAAATCCCGTTTCCAACGAAGGCCTCAAAGAGGTCCAAATATCTGCTTGCAGACTTTACAGACAGAGTGTTTCCAAACTGCTCCATCAAAAGAAAGGTGAAACTCCTTGAGTTGAACACACACATCACAAAGTAGTTTCTGTGAATGATTCTGTCTAGTTTTTATACGAAGATGTTTCCTTTTCTACCTTTGGTCTCAAAGCGATTGAAATCTCCACATGGAAACTCCACAAAAAGAGTGTTTCAAATCTGCTCTTTCTGAAGGAAGGTTCAACTCTGTGAGTTGAATACACACACCACAAATAAGTTACTGAGAATTCTTCTGTGTAACATTATATGAGGAAATCCCGTTTCCAACGAAGGCCTCAAAGAGGTCCAAATATCCACTTGCAGACTTTACAAAGACAGTGTCTCCAAACTCCTCCATCAAAAGAAAGGTTATACTCTGTGAATTGAACGCACACATCACAAAGTAGTTTCTGAGAATGATTCTGTCTAGTTTTTATACGAAGATATTTCCTTTTCTACATTTGGCCTAAAAGCGCTTGAAATCTCCACCTGCAAATATCACAAAAAGAGGGTTTCAGATCTGCTCTGTCAAAAGGACAGTTCACCTCTGTGAGTTGAATAGAGGCAACACAAAGAACTTACTCAGTATTCTTCTTTCTAGCGTTCTATGAAGAAATCCCGTTTCCAACGAAGGCCTCAAGGAGGTCCAAATATCTGCTTGCAGACTTTACAGAGTGTTTCCAAACTACTCTATGAAAAGAAAGCTTAAACTCCTTGAGTTGAACGCACACATCACAAAGTAGTTTCTGAGAATGATTCTGTCTAGTTTTTATACGAATATGTTTCCTTTTCTACATTTGGTCTCAAAGCGATTGAAATCTCCAACTGGAAACTGCACAAATAGGGTGTTTCAAATCTGCTCTGTCTAAAGGAAGGTTCAACCCTGTGAGTTGAATACACACACCACAAATAAGTTACTGAAAATTCTTCTGTCGAACATTACTTGAAGAAATCCCGTTTCCAACGAAGGCCTCAAAGAGGTCCAAATATTCACTTGCAGATATTACAAACAGAGTGTTTCCAAACTGCTCCATCAAAAGAAAGGTTAAACTCTGTGAGCTGAACACACACATCAAAAACAAGTTTCTGTGAATGATTCTGTCTAGATTTTATAAGAAGATGTTTCCTTTTCTACCGTAGGCCTCAAAGCGCTTGAAATCTCCAGCTGCAAATTCCACAAAAAGGGTGTTTAACATCTGCTCTTCTAAAGGAAAGTTCAACTCTATGAGTTGAATACACACAGCACAAAGAAGTTACTGAGACTTCTCCTATCTAACATTATATGAAGAAATCCCGTTTCCAACGAAGGCCTCAAAGAGGTCCAAATATCTGCTTGCAGACTTTACAGACAGAGTGTTTCCAAACTGCTCCATCAAAAGAATGGTTAAACTCCTTGAGTTGAACACACACATCACAAAGTAGTTTCTGTGAATGATTCTGTCTAGTTTTTATACGAAGATGTTTCCTTTTCTACCTTTGGTCTCAAAGCGATTGAAATCTCCACATGGAAACTCCACAAAAAGAGTGTTTCAAATCTGCTCTTTCTGAAGGAAGGTTCAACTCTGTGAGTTGAATACACACACCACAAATAAGTTACTGAGAATTCTTCTGTGTAACATTATATGAGGAAATCCCGTTTCCAACGAAGGCCTCAAAGAGGTCCAAATATCCACTTGCAGACTTTACAAAGACAGTGTCTCCAAACTCCTCCATCAAAAGAAAGGTTATACTCTGTGAATTGAACGCACACATCACAAAGTAGTTTCTGAGAATGATTCTGTCTAGTTTTTATATGAAGATATTTCCTTTTCTACATTTGGCCTAAAAGCGCTTGAAATCTCCACCTGCAAATATCACAAAAACAGGGTTTCACATCTGCTCTGTCTAAAGGACAGTTCACCTCTGTGAGTTGAATAGAGGCAACACAAAGAACTTACTCAGTATTCTTCTTTCTAGCGTTCTATGAAGAAATCCCGTTTCCAACCGAAGGCCCTAAAGAGGTCCAAATATCTGCTTGCAGACTTTACAGACAGAGTGTTTCCAAACTACTCTATGAAAAGAAAGCTTAAACTCCTTGAGTTGAACGCACACATCACAAAGTAGTTTCTGAGAATGATTCTGTCTAGTTTTTATACGAAGATGTTTCCTTTTCTACATTTGGTCTCAAAGCGATTGAAATCTCCAACTGGAAACTGCACAAATAGGGTGTTTCAAATCTGCTCTGTCTAAAGGAAGGTTCATCTCTGTGAGTTGAATACACACACCACAAATAAGTTACTGAGAATTCTTCTGTCGAACATTACATGAAGAAATCCCGTTTCCAACGAAGGCCTCAAAGAGGTCCAAATATCCACTTGCAGACATTACAAACAGTGTGTTTCCAAACTACTCCATCAAAAGAAAGGTTAAACTCTGTGAGCTGAACACACACATCAAAAAGTAGTTTCTGTGAATGATTATGTCTAGATTTTATAAGAAGATGTTTCCTTTTCTACCGTAGGCCTCAAAGCGCTTGAAATCTCCAGCTGCAAATTCCACAAAAAGGGTGTTTAACATCTGCTCTTCTAAAGGAAAGTTCAACTCTATGAGTTGAATACACACAGCACAAAGAAGTTACTGAGACTTCTCCTATCAAACATTATATGAAGAAATCCCGTTTCCAACGAAGGCCTCAAAGAGGTCCAAATATCTGCTTGCCGACTTTACAGACAGACTGTTTCCAAACTGCTCCATCAAAAGAAAGGTTAACCTCCTTGAGTTGAACACACACATCACAAAGTAGTTTCTGTGAATGATTCTGTCTAGTTTTTATACGAAGATGTTTCCCTTTCTACCTTTGGTCTCAAAGCGATTAAAATCTCCACATGGAAACTCCACAAAAAGAGTGTTTCATATCTGCTCTTTCTGAAGGAAGGTTCAACTCTGTGAGTTGAATACACACAGCAAAAATAAGTTACTGAGAATTCTTCTGTGTAACATTATATGAGGAAATCCCGTTTCCAACGAAGGCCTCAAAGAGGTCCAAATATCCACTTGCAGACTTTACAAAGACAGTATCTCCAAACTCCTCCATCAAAAGAAAGGTTATACTCTGTGAATTGAACGCACACATCACAAAGTAGTTTCTGAGAATGATTCTGTCTAGTTTTTATACGAAGATATTTCCTTTTCTACATTTGGCCTAAAAGCGCTTGAAATCTCCACGTGCAAATATCACAAAAAGAGGGTTTCACATCTGCTCTGTCTAAAGGACAGTTCACCTCTGTGAGTTGAATAGAGGCAACACAAAGAACTTACTCAGTATTCGTCTTTCTAGCGTTATATGAAGAAATCCCGTTTCCAACGAAGGCCTCAAAGAGGTCCAAATATCTGCTTGCAGACTTTACAGACAGAGTGTTTCCAAACTACTCTAAGAAAAGAAAGCTTAAACTCCGTGAGTTGAACGCACACATCACAAAGTAGTTTCTGAGAATGATTCTGTCTAGTTTTTATACGAAGATGTTTCCTTTTCTACATTTGGTCTCAAAGCGATTGAAATCTCCAACTGGAAACTGCACAAATAGGGTGTTTCAAATCTGCTCTGTCTAAAGGAAGGTTCAACTCTTTGAGTTGAATACACACACCACAAATAAGTTACTGAGAATTCTTCTGTCGACCATTACTTGAAGAAATCCCGTTTCCAACGAAGGCCTCAAAGAGGTCCAAATATCCACTAGCAGACATTACAAACAGAGTGTTTCCAAACTGCTCCATCAAAAGAAAGGTTAAACTCTGTGAGCTGAACACACACATCGAAAAGAAGTTTCTGTGAATGATTCTGTCTAGATTTTATAAGAAGATGTTTCCTTTTCTACCGTAGGCCTCAAAGTGCTTGAAATCTCCAGCTGCAAATTCCACAAAAAGGGTGTTTAACATCTGCTCTTCTAAAGGAAAGTTCAACTCAACGAGTTGAATACACACAGCCCAAAGAAGTTACTGAGACTTCTCCTATCAAACATTATATGAAGAAATCCCGTTTCCAACGAAGGCCTCAAAGAGGTCCAAATATCTGCTTGCAGACTTTACAGACAGAGTGTTTCCAAACTGCTCCATCAAAAGAAAGGTTAAACTCCCTTGAGTTGAACACACACATCACAAAGTAGTTTCTGTGAATGATTCTGTCCAGTTTTTATACGAAGATGTTTCCTTTTCTACCTTTGGTCTCAAAGCGATTGAAATCTCCACATGGAAACTCCACAAAAAGAGTGTTTCAAATCTGCTCTTTCTGAAGGAAGGTTCAACTCTGTGAGTTGAATACACACACCACAAATAAGTTACTGAGAATTCTTCTGTGTAACATTATATGAGGAAATCCCGTTTCCAATGAAGGCCTCAAAGAGGTCCAAATATCCACTTGCAGACTTACAAAGACAGTGTCTCCAAACTCCTCCATCAAAAGAAAGGTTATACTCTGTGAATTGAACGCACACATCACAAAGTAGTTTCTGAGAATGATTCTGTCTAGTTTTTATACGAAGATATTTCCTTTTCTACATTTGGCCTAAAAGCGCTTGAAATCTCCACCTGCAAATATCACAAAAAGAGGGTTTCACATCTGCTCTGTCTGAAGGACAGTTCACCTCTGTGAGTTGAAATAGAGGCAACACAAAGAACTTACTCAGTATTCTTCTTTCTAGCGTTCTATGAAGAAATCCCGTTTCCAACGAAGGCCTCAAAGAGGTCCAAATATCTGCTTGCAGACTTTACAGACAGAGTGTTTCCAAACTACTCTATGAAAAGAAAGCTTAAACTCCTTGAGTTGAACGCACACATCACAAAGTAGTTTCTGAGAATGATTCTGTCTAGTTTTTATACGAAGATGTTTCCTTTTCTACATTTGGTCTCAAAGCGATTGAAATCTCCAACTGGAAACTGCACAAATAGGGTGTTTCAAATCTGCTCTGTCTAAAGGAAGGTTCAACTCTGTGAGTTGAATACACACACCACAAATAAGTTACTGAGAATTCTTCTGTCGAACATTACTTGAAGAAATCCCGTTTCCAACGAAGGCCTCAAAGAGGTCCAAATATCCACTTGCAGACATTACAAACAGAGTGTTTCCAAACTGCTCCATCAAAAGAAAGGTTAAACTCTGTGAGCTGAACACACACATCAAAAAGAAGTTTCTGTGAATGATTCTGTCTAGATTTTATAAGAAGATGTTTCCTTTTCTACCGTAGGACTCAAAGCGCTTGAAATCTCCAGCTGCAAATTCCACAAAAAGGGTGTTTAACATCTGCTCTTCTAAAGGAAAGTTCAACTCAATGAGTTGAATACACACAGCACAAAGAAGTTACTGAGACTTCTCCTATCAAACATTATATGAAGAAATCCCGTTTCCAACGAAGGCCTCAAAGAGGTCCAAATATCTGCTTGCAGACTTTACAGACAGAGTGTTTCCAAACTGCTCCATCAAAAGAAAGGTTAAACTCCTTGAGTTGAACACACACATCACAAAGTAGTTTCTGTGAATGATTCTGTCTAGTTTTTATACGAAGATGTTTCCTTTTCTACCTTTGGTCTCAAAGCGATTGAAATCTCCACATGGAAACTCCACAAAAAGAGTGTTTCAAATCTGCTCTTTCTGAAGGAAGGTTCAACTCTGTGAGTTGAATACACACACCACAAATAAGTTACTGAGAATTCTTCTGTGTAACATTATATGAGGAAATCCCGTTTCCAACGAAGGCCTCAAAGAGGTCCAAATATCCACTTGCAGACTTTACAAAGACAGTGTCTCCAAACTCCTCCATCAAAAGAAAGGTTATACTCTGTGAATTGAACGCACACATCACAAAGTAGTTTCTGAGAATGATTCTGTCTAGTTTTTATAAGAAGATATTTCCTTTTCTACATTTGGCCTAAAAGCGCTTGAAATCTCCACCTGCAAATATCACAAAAAGAGGGTTTCACATCTGCTCTGTCTAAAGGACAGTTCACCTCTGTGAGTTGAATAGAGGCAACACAAAGAACTTACTCAGTATTCTTCTTTCTAGCGTTCTATGAAGAAATCCCGTTTCCAACGAAGGCCTCAAAAAGGTCCAAATATCTGCTTGCAGACTTTACAGACAGAGTGTTTCCAAACTACTCTATGAAAAGAAAGCTTAAACTCCTTGAGTTGAACGCACACATCACAAAGTAGTTTCTGAGAATGATTCTGTCTTGTTTTTATACGAAGATATTTCCGTTTCTATGATTGGCCTCAAAGCGATTGAAATCTCCAACTGGAAACTGCACAAATAGGGTGTTTCAAATCTGCTCTGTCTAAAGGAAGGTTCAACTCTGTGAGTTGAATACACACACCACAAATAAGTTACTGAGAATTCTTCTGTCGAACATTACTTGAAGAAATCCCGTTTCCAACGAAGGCCCCAAAGAGGTCCAAATATCCACTTGCAGATATTACAAACAGAGTGTTTCCAAACTGCTCCATCAAAAGAAAGGTTAAACTCGGTGAGCTGAACACACACATCAAAAAGAAGTTTCTGTGAATTATTCTGTCTAGATTTTATAAGAAGATGTTTCCTTTTCTACCGTAGGCCTCAAAGCGCTTGAAATCTCCAGCTGCAAATTCCACAAAAAGGGTGTTTAACATCTGCTCTTCTAAAGGAAAGTTCAACTCTATGAGTTGAATACACACAGCACAAAGAAGTTACTGAGACTTCTCCTATCAAACATTATATGAAGAAATCCCGTTTCCAACGAAGGCCTCAAAGAGGTCCAAATATCTGCTTGCAGACTTTACAGACAGAGTGTTTCCAAACTGCTCCATCAAAAGAAAGGTTAAACTCCTTGAGTTGAACACACACATCACAAAGTAGTTTCTGTGAATGATTCTGTCTAGTTGTTATACGAAGATGTTTCCTTTTCTACCTTTGGTCTCAAAGCGATTGAAATCTCCACATGGAAACTCCACAAAAAGAGTGTTTCAAATCTGCTCTTTCTGAAGGAAGGTTCATCTCTGTGAGTTGAATACACACACCCACAAATAAGTTACTGAGAATTCTTCTGTGTAACATTATATGAGGAAATCCCGTTTCCAACGAAGGCCTCAAAGAGGTCCAAATATCCACTTGCAGACTTTACAAAGACAGTGTCTCCAAACTCCTCCATCAAAAGAAAGGATATACTCTGTGAATTGAACGCACACATCACAAAGTAGATTCTGAGAATGATTCTGTCTAGTTTTTATACGAAGATATTTCCTTTTCTACATTTGGCCTAAAAGTGCTTGAAATCTCCACCTGCAAATATCACAAAAAGAGGGTTTCACATCTGCTCTGTCTAAAGGACAGTTCACCTCTGTGAGTTGAATAGAGGCAACACAAAGAACTTACTCAGTATTCTTCTTTCTAGCGTTCTATGAAGAAATCCCGTTTCCAACGAAGACCCCAATGAGGTCCAAATATCTGCTTGCAGACTTTACAGACAGAGTGTTTCCAAACTACTCTATGAAAAGAAAGCTTAAACTCCTTGAGTTGAACGCACACATCACAAAGTAGTTTCTGAGAATGATGCTGTCTAGTTTTTGTACGAAGATGTTTCCTTTTCTACATTTGGTCTCAAAGCGATTGAAATCTCCAACTGGAGACTGCACAAATAGGGTGTTTCAAATCTGCTCTGTCTAAAGGAAGGTTCAACTCTGTGAGTTGAATACACACACCACAAATAAGTTACTGAGAATTCTTCTGTCGAACATTACATGAAGAAATCCCGTTTCCAACGAAGGCCTCAAAGAGGTCCAAATATCCACTTGCAGACATTACAGAGTGTTTCCAAACTGCTCCATCAAAAGAAAGGTTAAACTCTGTGAGCTGAACACACACATCAAAAAGAAGTTTCTGTGAATGATTCTCTCTAGATTTTATAAGAAGATGTTTCCTTTTCTACCGTAGGCCTCAAAGCGCTTGAAATCTCCAGCTGCAAATTCCACAAAAAGGGTGTTTAACATCTGCTCTTCTAAAGGAAAGTTCAACTCTATGAGTTGAATACACACAGCACAAAGAAGTTACTGAGACTACTCCTATCAAACATTATATGAAGAAATCCCATTTCCAACGAAGGCCTCAAAGAGGTCCAAATATCTGCTTGCAGACTTTACAGACAGAGTGTTTCCAAACTGCTCCGTCAAAAGAAAGGTTAACCTCCTTGAGTTGAACACACACATCACAAAGTAGTTTCTGTGAATGATTCTGTCTAGTTTTTATACGAAGATGTTTCCTTTTCTACCTTTGGTCTCAAAGCGATTGAAATCTCCACATGGAAACTCCACAAAAAGAGTGTTTCAAATCTGCTCTTTCTGAAGGAAGGTTCAACTCTGTGAGTTGAATACACACACCACAAATAAGTTACTGAGAATTCTTCTGGGTAACATTATATGAGGAAATCCCGTTTCCAACGAAGGCCTCAAAGAGGTCCAAATATCCACTTGCAGACTTTACAAAGACAGTGTCTCCAAACTCCTCCATCAAAAGAAAGGTTATACTCTGTGAATTGAACGCACACATCACAAAGTAGTTTCTGAGAATGATTCTGTCTAGTTTTTATACGAAGATATTTCCTTTTCTACATTTGGCCTAAAAGCGCTTGAAATCTCCACCTGCAACTATCACAAAAAGAGGGTTTCACATCTGCTCTGTCTAAAGGACAGTTCACCTCTGTGAGTTGAATAGAGGCAACACAAAGAACTTACTCAGTATTCTTCTTTCTAGCGTTCTATGAAGAAATCCCGTTTCCAACGAAGGCCCCAAAGAGGTCCAAATATCTGCTTGCAGACTTTACAGACAGAGTGTTTCCAAACTACTCTATGAAAAGAAAGCTTAAACTCCTTGAGTTGAACGCACACATCACAAAGTAGTTTCTGAGAATGATTCTGTCTAGTTTTTATACGAAGATGTTTCCTTTTCTACATTTGGTCTCAAAGCGATTGAAATCTCCAACTGGAAACTGCACAAATAGGGTGTTTCAAATCTGCTCTGTCTAAAGGAAGGTTCAACTCTGTGAGTTGAATACACACACCACAAATAAGTTACTGAGAATTCTTCCGTCGAACATTACTTGAAGAAATCCCGTTTCCAACGAAGGCCTCAAAGAGGTCCAAATATCCACTTGCAGACATTACAAACAGAGTGTTTCCAAAACTGCTCCATCAAAAGAAAGGTTAAACTCTGTGAGCTGAACACACACATCAAAAAGAAGTTTCTGTGAATGATTCTGTCTAGATTTTATAAGAAGATGTTTCCTTTTCTACCGTAGGCCTCAAAGCGCTTGAAATCTCCAGCTGCAAATTCCACAAAAAGGGTGTTTAACATCTGCTCTTCTAAAGGAAAGTTCAACTCTATGAGTTGAATACACACAGCACAAAGAAGTTACTGAGACTTCTCCTATCAAACATTATATGAAGAAATCCCGTTTCCAACGAAGGCCTCAAAGAGGTCCAAATATCTGCTTGCAGACTTTACAGACAGAGTGTTTCCAAACTGCTCCATCAAAAGAAAGGTTAAACTCCTTGAGCTGAACACACACATCACAAAGTAGTTTCTGTGAATGATTCTGTCTAGTTGTTATACGAAGATGTTTCCTTTTCTACCTTTGGTCTCAAAGCGATTGAAATCTCCACATGGAAACTCCACAAAAAGAGTGTTTCAAATCTGCTCTTTCTGAAGGAAGGTTCATCTCTGTGAGTTGAATACACACACCACAAATAAGTTACTGAGAATTCTTCTGGGTAACATTATATGAGGAAATCCCGTTTCCAACGAAGGCCTCAAAGAGATCCAAATATCCACTTGCAGACTTTACAAAGACAGTGTCTCCAAACTCCTCCATCAAAAGAAAGGTTATACTCTGTGAATTGAACGCACACATCACAAAGTAGTTTCTGAGAATGATTCTGTCTAGTTTTTATACGAAGATATTTCCTTTTCTACATTTGGCCTAAAAGCGCTTGAAATCTCCACCTGCAAATATCACAAAAAGAGGGTTTCACATCTGCTCTGTCTAAAGGACAGTTCACCTCTGTGAGTTGAATAGAGGCAACACAAAGAACTTACTCAGTATTCTTCTTTCCAGCGTTCTATGAAGAAATCCCTTTTCCAACGAAGGCCTCAAATAGGTCCAAATATCTGCTTGCAGACTTTACAGACAGAGTGTTTCCAAACTACTCTATGAAAAGAAAGCTTAAACTCCTTGAGTTGAACGCACACATCACAAAGTAGTTTCTGAGAATGATTCTGTCTAGTTTTTATACGAAGATGTTTCCTTTTCTACATTTGGTCTCAAAGCGATTGAAATCTCCAACTGGAAACTGCACAAATAGGGTGTTTCAAATCTGCTCTGTCTAAAGGAAGGTTCAACTCTTTGAGTTGAATACACACACCACAAATAAGTTACTGAGAATTCTTCTGTCGAACATTACTTGAAGAAATCCCGTTTCCAACGAAGGCCTCAAAGAGGTCCAAATATCCACTTGCAGACATTACATACAGAGTGTTTCCAAACTGCTCCATCAAAAGAAAGGTTAAACTCTGTGAGCTGAACACACACATCAAAAAGAAGTTTCTGTGAATGATTCTGTCTAGATTTTATAAGAAGATGTTTCCTTTTCTACCGTAGGCCTCAAAGCGCTTGAAATCTCCAGCTGCAAATTCCACAAAAAGGGTGTTTAACATCTGCTCTTCTAAAGGAAAGTTCAACTCTATGAGTTGAATACACACAGCACAAAGAAGTTACTGAGACTTCTCCTATCAAACATTATATGAAGAAATCCCGTTTCCAACGAAGGCCTCAAAGAGGTCCAAATATCTGCTTGCAGACTTTACAGACAGAGTTTTTCCAAACTGCTCCATCAAAAGAAAGGTTAAACTCCTTGAGTTGAACACACACATCACAAAGTAGTTTCTGTGAATGATTCTGTCTAGTTTTTATACGAAGATGTTTCCTTTTCTACCTTTGGTCTCAAAGCGATTGAAATCTCCACATGGAAACTCCACAAAAAGAGTGTTTCAAATCTGCTCTTTCTGAAGGAAGGTTCATCTCTGTGAGTTGAATACACACACCACAAATAAGTTACTGAGAATTCTTCTGTGTAACATTATACGAGGAAATCCCGTTTCCAACGAAGGCCTCAAAGAGGTCCAAATATCCACTTGCAGACTTTACAAAGACAGTGTCTCCAAACTCCTCCATCAAAAGAAAAGTTATACTCTGTGAATTGAACGCACACATCACAAAGTAGTTTCTGAGAATGATTCTGTCTAGTTTTTATACGAAGATATTTCCTTTTCTACATTTGGCCTAAAAGCGCTTGAAATCTCCACCTGCAAATATCACAAAAAGAGGGTTTCACATCTGCTCTGTCTAAAGGACAGTTCACCTCTGTGAGTTGAATAGAGGCAACACAAAGAACGTACTCAGTATTCTTCTTTCTAGCGTTCTATGAAGAAATCCCGTTTCCAACGAAGGCCCCAAAGAGGTCCAAATATCTGCTTGCACACTTTACAGACAGAGTGTTTCCAAACTACTCTATGAAAAGAAAGCTTAAACTCCTTGAGTTGAACGCACACATCACAAAGTAGTTTCTGAGAATGATTCTGTCTAGTTTTTATACGAAGATGTTTCCTTTTCTACATTTGGTCTCAAAGCGATTGAAATCTCCAACTGGAAACTGCACAAATAGGGTGTTTCAAATCTGCTCTGTCTAAAGGAAGGTTCAACTCTGTGTGTTGAATACACACACCACAAATAAGTTACTGAGAATTCTTCGCTCGAACATTACATGAAGAAATCCTGTTTCCAACGAAGGCCGCAAAGAGGTCCAAATATCCACTTGCCGACATGGCAAACACAGTGTTTGCAAACTGCTCCGTCAAAAGAAAGTTTAAACTCTGTGAGATGAACACACACATCAAAAAGAAGTTTCTGTGAATGATTCTGTCGTCTAGATTTTATAAGAAGATGTTTCCTTTTCTACCATATTCCTCAAAGCACTAGAAATCTCCAGCTGCAAATTCCACAAAAAGTGTGTTTGACATCTGCTCTGTCTAAAGAAAAGTTCAGCTCTGTGAGTTGAATACACACAGCACAAAGAAGTTACTGAGTCTTCTCCTATCAAACATTATATGAAGAAATCCCGTTTCCAACGAAGGCCTCAAAGAGGTTCAAATATCTGCTTGCAGACTTTACAGACAGAGTGTTTCCAAACTGCTCCATGAAAACGAAGGTTAAACTCCTTGAGTTGAACACACACATCACAAAGTAGTTTCTGTCAATGATTCTGTCTAGTTTTTATACGAAGATGTTTCCTTTTCTACCTTTGGTCTCAAAGCGATTGAAATCTCCACATGGAAACTCCACAAAAAGAGTGTTTCAAATCTGCTCTTTCTGAAGGAAGGTTCATCTCTGTGAGTTGAATACACACACCACAAATAAGTTACTGAGGAATTCTTCTGTGTAACATTATATGAGGAAATCCCGTTTCCAACGAAGGCCTGCAAGAGGTCCAAATATCCACTTGCAGACTTTACAAAGACAGTGTCTCCAAACTCCTCCATGAAAAGAAAGGTTATACTCTGTGAATTGAACGCACACATCACAAAGTAGTTTCTGAGAATGATTCTGTCTAGTTTTTATACGAAGATATTTCCTTTTCTACATTTGGCCTAAAAGCGCTTGAAATCTCCACCAGCAAATATCACAAAAAGAGGGTTTCACATCTGCTCCGTCTAAAGGACAGTTCACCTCTGTGAGTTGAATAGAGGCAACACAAAGAACTTACTCAGTATTCTTCTTTCTATCGTTCTATGAAGAAATCCCGTTTCTAACGAAGTCCCCAAAGAGGTCCAAATATCTGCTTGCAGACTTTACAGACAGAGTGTTTCCAAACTACTCTATGAAAAGAAAGATTAAACTCCTTGAGTTGAACGCACACATCAGAAAGTAGTTTCTGAGAATTATTCTGTCTAGTTTTTATACGAAGATGTTTCCTTTTCTACATTTGGTCTCAAAGCGATTGAAATCTCCAACTGGAAACTCCACAAAAAGAGTGTTTCAAATCTGCTCTGTCTAAAGGAAGGTTCAACTCTGTGAGTTGAATACACACACCACAAATAAGTTACTGAGAATTCTTCTGTCGACCATTACTTGAAGAAATCCCGTTTCCAACGAAGGCCTCAAAGAGGTCCAAATATCCACTTGCAGACATTACAAACAGAGTGTTTCCAAACTGCTCCATCAAAAGAAAGGTTAAACTCTGTGAGCTGAACACACACATCGAAAAGAAGTTTCTGTGAATGATTCTGTCTAGATTTTATAAGAAGATGTTTCCTTTTCTACCATAGGCCTCAAAGCGCTAGAAATCTCCAGCTGCAAATTCCACGAAAAGTGTGTTTAACATCTGCTCTGTCTAAAGTAAAGTTCAGCTCTGTGAGTTGAATACACACAGCACAAAGAAGTTACTGAGACTTCTCCTATCAAACATTATATGAAGAAATCCCGTTTCCAACGAAGGCCTCAAAGAGGTCCAAATATCTGCTTGCAGACTTTACAAACAGAGTGTTTCCAAACTGCTCCATCAAAAGAAAGGTTAAACTCCTTGAGTTGAACACACACATCACAAAGTAGTTTCTGTGAATGATTCTGTCTAGTTTTTATACGAAGATGTTTCCTTTTCTACCTTTGGTCTCAAAGCGATTGAAATCTCCACATGGAAACTCCACAAAAAGAGTGTTTCAAATCTGCTCTTTCTGAAGGAAGGTTCAACTCTGTGAGTTGAATACACACACCACAAATAAGTTACTGAGAATTCTTCTGTGTAACATTATATGAGGAAATCCCGTTTCCAACGAAGGCCTCAAAGAGGTCCAAATATCCACTTGCAGACTTTACAAAGACAGTGTCTCCAAACTCCTCCATCAAAAGAAAGGTTATACTCTGTGAATTGAACGCACACATCACAAAGTAGTTTCTGAGAATGATTCTGTCTAGTTTTTATACGAAGATATTTCCTTTTCTACATTTGGCCTAAAAGCGCTTGAAATCTCCACCTGCAAATATCACAAAAAGAGGGTTTCACATCTGCTCTGTCTAAAGGACAGTTCACCTCTGTGAGTTGAATAGAGGCAACACAAAGAACGTACTCAGTATTCTTCTTTCTAGCGTTACATGAAGAAATCCCGTTTCCAACGAAGGCCTCAAAGAGGTCCAAATATCTGCTTGCAGACTTTACAGACAGAGTGTTTCCAAACTACTCTATGAAAAGAAAGCTTAAACTCCTTGAGTTGAACGCACACATCACAAAGTAGTTTCTGAGAATGATTCTGTCTAGTTTTTATACGAAGATGTTTCCTTTTCTACATTTGGTCTCAAAGCGATTGAAATCTCCAACTGGAAACTGCACAAATAGGGTGTTTCAAATCTGCTCTGTCTAAAGGAAGGTTCAACTCTGTGAGTTGAATACACACACCACAAATAAGTTACTGAGAATTCTTCTCCCGAACATTACTTGAAGAAATCCCGTTTCCAACGAAGGCCTCAAAGAGGTCCAAATATCCACTTGCAGACATTACAAACAGAGTGTTTCCAAACTGCTCCATCAAAAGAAAGGTTAAACTCTGTGAGCTGAACACACACATCAAAAAGAAGTTTCTGTGAATGATTCTGTCTAGATTTTATAAGAAGATGTTTCCTTTTCTACCATAGGCCTCAAAGCGCTTGAAATCTCCAGCTGCAAATTCCACAAAAAGGGTGTTTAACATCTGCTCTTCTAAAGGAAAGTTCAACTCTATGAGTTGAATACACACAGCACAAAGAAGTTACTGAGACTTCTCCTATCAAACATTATATGAAGAAATCCCGTTTCCAACGAAGGCCTCAAAGAGGTCCAAATATCTGCTTGCAGACTTTACAGACAGAGTATTTCCAAACTGCTCCATCAAAAGAAAGGTTAAACTCCTTGAGTTGAACACACACATCACAAAGTAGTTTCTGTGAATGATTCTGTCTAGTTTTTATACGAAGATGTTTCCTTTTCTACCTTTGGTCTCAAAGCGATTGAAATCTCCACATGGAAACTCCACAAAAAGAGTGTTTCAAATCTGCTCTTTCTGAAGGAAGGTTCAACTCTGTGAGTTGAATACACACACCACAAATAAGTTACTGAGAATTCTTCTGTGTAACATTATATGAGGAAATCCCGTTTCCAACGAAGGCCTCAAAGAGGTCCAAATATCCACTTGCAGACTTTACAAAGACAGTGTCTCCAAACTCCTCCATCAAAAGAAAGGTTATACTCTGTGAATTGAACGCACACATCACAAAGTAGTTTCTGAGAATGATTCTGTCTAGTTTTTCTACGAAGATATTTCCTTTTCCACATTTGGCCTAAAAGCGCTTGAAATCTCCACCTGCAAATATCACAAAAAGAGGGTTTCACATCTGCTCTGTCTAAAGGACAGTTCACCTCTGTGAGTTGAATAGAGGCAACACAAGGAAGTTACTGAGTATTCTTCTTTCTAGCGTTCTATGAAGAAATCCCGTTTCCAACGAAGGCCCCAAAGAGGTCCAAATATCTGCTTGCAGACTTTACAGACAGAGTGTTTCCAAACTACTCTATGAAAAGAAAGCTTAAACTCCTTGAGTTGAACGCACACATCACAAAGTAGTTTCGGAGAATGATTCTGTCTAGTTTTTATACGAAGATGTTTCCTTTTCTACATTTGGTCTCAAAGCGATTGAAATCTCCAACTGGAAACTGCACAAATAGGGTGTTTCAAATCTGCTCTGTCTAAAGGAAGGTTCAACTCTGTGAGTTGAATACACACACCACAAATAAGTTACTGAGAATTCTTCTGTCGAACATTACATGAAGAAATCCCGTTTCCAACGAAGGCCTCAAAGAGGTCCAAATATCCACTTGCAGACATTACAAACAGAGTGTTTCCAAACTGCTCCATCAAAAGAAAGGTTAAACTCTGTGAGCTGAACACACACATCAAAAAGAAGCTTCTGTGAATGATTCTGTCTAGATTTTATAAGAAGATGTTTCCTTTTCTACCGTAGGCCTCAAAGCGCTTGAAATCTCCAGCTGCAAATTCCACAAAAAGGGTGTTTAACATCTGCTCTTCTAAAGGAAAGTTCAAATCTATGAGTTGAATACACACAGCACAAAGAAGTTACTGAGACTTCTCCTATCAAACATTATATGAAGAAATCCCGTTTCCAACGAAGGCCTCAAAGAGGTCCAAATATCTGCTTGCAGACTTTACAGACAGAGTGTTTCCAAACTGCTCCATCAAAAGAAAGGTTAAACTCCTTGAGTTGAACACACACATCACAAAGTAGTTTCTGTGAATGATTCTGTCTAGTTTTTATACGAAGATGTTTCCTTTTCTACCTTTGGTCTCAAAGCGATTGAAATCTCCACATGGAAACTCCACAAAAAGAGTGTTTCAAATCTGCTCTTTCTGAAGGAAGGTTCATCTCTGTGAGTTGAATACACACACCACAAATAAGTTACTGAGAATTCTTCTGTGTAACATTATATGAGGAAATCCCGTTTCCAACGAAGGCCTCAAAGAGGTCCAAATATCCACTTGCAGACTTACAAAGACAGTGTCTCCAAACTCCTCCATCAAAAGAAAGGTTATACTCTGTGAATTGAACGCACACATCACAAAGTAGTTTCTGAGAATGATTCTGTCTAGTTTTTATACGAAGATATTTCCTTTTCTACATTTGGCCTAAAAGCGCTTGAAATCTCCACCTGCAAATATCACAAAAAGAGGGTTTCACATCTGCTCTGTCTAAAGGACAGTTCACCTCTGTGAGTTGAATAGAGGCAACACAAAGAACTTACTGAGTATTCTTCTTTCTAGCGTTCTATGAAGAAATCCCGTTTCCAACGAAGGCCCCAAAGAGGTCCAAATATCTGCTTGCAGACTTTACAGACAGAGTGTTTCCAAACTACTCTATGAAAAGAAAGCTTAAACTCCTTGAGTTGAACGCACACATCACAAAGTAGTTTCTGAGAATGATTCTGTCTTGTTTTTATACAAAGTTATTTCTGTTTCTATGATTGGCCTCAAAGTGATTGAAATCTCCAACTGGAAACTGCACAAATAGGGTGTTTCAAATCTGCTCTGTCTAAAGGAAGGTTCAACTCTGTGAGTTGAATACACACACCACAAATAAGTTACTGAGAATTCTTTCTGTCGAACATTACATGAAGAAATCCCGTTTCCAACGAAGGCCTCAAAGAGGTCCAAATATCCACTTGAAGACATTACAGAGTGTTTCCAAACTGCTCCATCAAAAGAAAGGTTAAACTCTGTGAGCTGAACACACACATCAAAAAGAAGTTTCTGTGAATGTTTCTGTCTAGATTTTATAAGAAGATGTTTCCTGTTCTACCGTAGGCCTCAAAGCGCTTGAAATCTCCAGCTGCAAATTCCACAAAAAGGGTGTTTAACATCTGGTCTTCTAAAGGAAAGTTCAACTCAATGAGTTGAATACACACAGCACAAAGAAGTTAATGAGACTTCTCCTATCAAACATTATATGAAGAAATCCCGTTTCCAACGAAGGCCTCAAAGAGGTCCAAATATCTGCTTGCAGACTTTACAGACAGAGTGTTTCCAAACTGCTCCATCAAAAGAAAGGTTAAACTCCTTGAGTTGAACACACACATCACAAAGTAGTTTCTGTGAATGATTCTGTCTAGTTTTTATACTAAGATGTTTCCTTTTCTACCTTTGGTCTCAAAGCGATTGAAATCTCCACATGGAAACTCCACAAAAAGAGTGTTTCAAATCTGCTCTTTCTGAAGGAAGGTTCAACTCTGTGAGTTGAATACACACACCACAAATAAGTTACTGAGAATTCTTCTGTGTAACATTATATTAGGAAATCCCGTTTCCAACGAAGGCCTCAAAGAGATCCAAATATCCACTTGCAGACTTTACAAAGACAGTGTCTCCAAACTCCTCCATCAAAAGAAAGGTTATACTCTGTGAATTGAACGCACACATCACAAAGTAGTTTCTGAGAATGATTCTGTCTAGTTTTTATACGAAGATATTTCCTTTTCTACATTTGGCCTAAAAGCGCTTGAAATCTCCACCTGCAAATATCACAAAAAGAGGGTTTCACATCTGCTCTGTCTGAAGGACAGTTCACCTCTGTGAGTTGAATAGAGGCAACACAAAGAACTTACTCAGTATTCTTCTTTCTAGCGTTCTATGAAGAAATCCCATTTCCAATGAAGGCCTCAAAGAGGTCCAAATATCTGCTTGCAGACTTTACAGACAGAGTGTTTCCAAACTACTCTATGAAAAGAAAGCTTAAACTCCTTGAGTTGAACGCACACATCACAAAGTAGTTTCTGAGAATGATTCTGTCTAGTTTTTATACGAAGATGTTTCCTTTTCTACATTTGGTCTCAAAGCGATTGAAATCTCCAACTGGAAACTGCACAAATAGGGTGTTTCATATCTGCTCTGTCTAAAGGAAGGTTCAACTCTGTGAGTTGAATACTCACACCACAAATAAGTTACTGAGAATTCTTCAGTCGAACGTTTCATGAAGAAATCCCGTTTCCAACGAAGGTCTCAAAGAGGTCCAAATATCCACTTGCAGACATTACAAACAGAGTGTTTCCAAACTGCTCCATCAAAAGAAAGTTAAACTCTGTGAGCTGAACACACACATCAAAAAGAAGTTTCTGTGAATGATTCTGTCTAGATTTTATATGAAGATGTTTCCTTTTCTACCGTAGGCCTCAAAGCGCTTGAAATCTCCAGCTGCAAATTCCACAAAAAGGGTGTTTAACATCTGCTCTTGTAAAGGAAAGTTCAACTCTATGAGTTGAATACACACAGCACAAAGAAGTTACTGAGACTTCTCCTATCAAACATTATATGAAGAAATCCCGTTTCCAACGAAGGCCTCAAAGAGGTCCAAATATCTGCTTGCAGACTTTACAGACAGAGTGTTTCCAAACTGCTCTATCAAAAGAAAGGTTAAACTCCTTGAGTTGAACACACACATCACAAAGTAGTTTCTGTGAATGATTCTGTCTAGTTTTTATACGAAGATGTTTCCTTTTCTACCTTTGGTCTCAAAGCGATTGAAATCTCCACATGGAAACTCCACAAAAAGAGTGTTTCAAATCTGCTCTTTCTGAAGGAAGGTTCAACCCTGTGAGTTGAATACACACACCACAAATAAGTTACTGAGAATTCTTCTGGGTAACATTATATGAGGAAATCCCGTTTCCAACGAAGGCCTCAAAGAGGTCCAAATATCCACTTGCAGACTTTACAAAGACAGTGTCTCCAAACTCCTCCATCAAAAGAAAGGTTATACTCTGTGAATTGAACGCACACATCACAAAGTAGTTTCTGAGAATGATTCTGTCTAGTTTTTATACGAAGATATTTCCTTTTCTACATTTGGCCTAAAAGCGCTTGAAATCTCCAAGTGCAAATATCACAAAAAGAGGGTTTCACATCTGCTCTGTCTAAAGGACAGTTCACCTCTGTGAGTTGAATAGAGGCAACACAAGGAACTTACTCAGTATTCTTCTTTCTAGCGTTCTATGAAGAAATCCCGTTTCCAACGAAGGCCCCAAAGAGGTCCAAATATCTGCTTGCAGACTTTACAGACAGAGTGTTTCCAAACTACTCTATGAAAAGAAAGCTTAAACTCCTTGAGTTGAACGCACACATCACAAAGTAGTTTCTGAGAATGATTCTGTCAAGTTTTTATACGAAGATGTTTCCTTTTCTACATTTGGTCTCAAAGCGATTGAAATCTCCAACTGGAAACTGCACAAATAGGGTGTTTCAAATCTGCTCTGTCTAAAGGAAGTTTCAACTCTGTGAGTTGAATACACACACCACAAATAAGTTACTGAGAATTCTTCTGTCAAACATTACATGAAGAAATCCCGTTTCCAACGAAGACCTCAAAGAGGTCCAAATATCCACTTGCAGACATTACAAACAGAGTGTTTCCAAACTGCTCCAT
Organism: Homo sapiens; assembly: GCF_000001405.40. Classification (NCBI taxonomy): domain Eukaryota; kingdom Metazoa; phylum Chordata; class Mammalia; order Primates; family Hominidae; genus Homo; species Homo sapiens. The sequence continues at coordinate 37,095,969 of NC_000012.12, read as the reverse complement.
CAAAAGAAAGGTTAAACTCTGTGAGCTGAACACACACATCAAAAAGAAGTTTCTGTGAATGATTCTGTCTAGATTTTATAAGAAGATGTTTCCTTTTCTACCGTAGGCCTCAAAGCGCTTGAAATCTCCAGCTGCAAATTCCACAAAAAGGGTGTTTAACATCTGCTCTTCTAAAGGAAAGTTCAACTCTATGAGTTGAATACACACAGCACAAAGAAGTTACTGAGACTTCTCCTATCAAACATTATATGAAGAAATCCCGTTTCCAACGAAGGCCTCAAAGAGGTCCAAATATCTACTTGCAGACTTTACAGACAGAGTGTTTCCAAACTGCTCCATCAAAAGAAAGGTTAAACTCCTTGAGTTGAACACACACATCACAAAGTAGTTTCTGTGAATGATTCTGTCTAGTTTTTATACGAAGATGTTTCCTTTTCTACCTTTGGTCTCAAAGCGATTGAAATCTCCACATGGAAACTCCACAAAAAGAGTGTTTCAAATCTGCTCTTTCTGAAGGAAGGTTCAACTCTGTGAGTTGAATACACACACCACAAATAAGTTACTGAGAATTCTTCTGTGTAACATTATATGAGGAAATCCCGTTTCCAACGAAGGCCTCAAAGAGGTCCAAATATCCACTTGCAGACTTTACAAAGACAGTGTCTCCAAACTCCTCCATCAAAAGAAAGGTTATACTCTGTGAATTGAACGCACACATCACAAAGTAGTTTCTGAGAATGATTCTGTCTAGTTTTTATACGAAGATATTTCCTTTTCTACATTTGGCCTAAAAGCGCTTGAAATCTCCACGTGCAAATATCACAAAAAGAGGGTTTCACATCTGCTCTGTCTAAAGGACAGTTCACCTCTGTGAGTTGAATAGAGGCAACACAAAGAACTTACTCAGTATTCTTCTTTCTAGCGTTCTATGAAGAAATCCCGTTTCCAACGAAGGCCCCAAAGAGGTCCAAATATCTGCTTGCAGACTTTACAGACAGAGTGTTTCCAAACTACTCTATGAAAAGAAAGCTTAAACTCCTTGAGTTGAACGCACACATCACAAAGTAGTTTCTGAGAATGATTCTGTCTAGTTTTTATACGAAGATGTTTCCTTTTCTACATTTGGTCTCAAAGCGATTGAAATCTACACCTGGAAACTGCACAAATAGGGTGTTTCAAATCTGCTCTGTCTAAAGGACGGTTCAACTCTGTGAGTTGAATACACACACCACAAATAAGTTACTGAGAATTCTTCTGTCGAACATTACTTGAAGAAATCCCGTTTCCAACGAAGGCCTCAAAGAGGTCCAAATATCCACTTGCGGACATTACAAACAGTGTGTTTCCCAACTGCTCCATCAAAAGAAAGGTTAAACTCTGTGAGCTGAACACACACATCAAAAAGAAGTTTCTGTGAATGATCTGTCTAGATTTTATAAGAAGATGTTTCCTTTTCTACAGTAGGCCTCAAAGCGCTTGAAATCTCCAGCTGCAAATTCCACAAAAAGGGTGTTTAACATCTGCTCTTCTAAAGGAAAGTTCAACTCTATGAGTTGAATGCACACAGCACAAAGAAGTTACTGAGACTTCTCCCTATCAAACATTATATGAAGAAATCCCGTTTCCAACGAAGGCCTCAAAGAGGTCCAAATATCTGCTTGCAGACTTTATAGACAGAGTGTTTCCAAACTGCTCCATCAAAAGAAAGGTTAAACTCCTTGAGTTGAACACACACATCACAAAGTAGTTTCTGTGAATGATTCTGTCTAGTTTTTATACGAAGATGTTTCCTTTTCTACCTTTGGTCTCAAAGCGATTGAAATCTCCACATGGAAACTCCACAAAAAGAGTGTTTCAAATCTGCTCTTTCTGAAGGAAGGTTCAACTCTGTGAGTTGAATACACACACCACAAATAAGTTACTGAGAATTCTTCTGTGTAACATTATATGAGGAAATCCCGTTTCCAACGAAGGCCTCAAAGAGGTCCAAATATCCACTTGCAGACTTTACAAAGACAGTGTCTCCAAACTCCTCCATCAAAAGAAAGGTTATACTCTGTGAATTGAACACACACATCACAAAATAGTTTCTGAGAATGATTCTGTCTAGTTTTTATACGAAGATATTTCCTTTTCTACATTTGGCCTAAAAGCGCTTGAAATCTCCACCTGCAAATATCACAAAAAGAGGGTTTCTCATCTGCTCTGCCTAAAGGACAGTTCACCTCTGTGAGTTGAATAGAGGCAACACAAAGAACTTACTCAGTATTCTTCTTTCTAGCGTTCTATGAAGAAATCCCGTTTCCAACGAAGGCCTCAAAGAGGTCAAATATCTGCTTGCAGACTTTACAGACAGAGTGTTTCCAAACTACTCTATGAAAAGAAAGCTTAAACTCCTTGAGTTGAACGCACACATCACAAAGTAGTTTCTGAGAATGATTCTGTCTAGTTTTTATACGAAGATGTTTCCCTTTCTACATTTGGTCTCAAAGCGATTGAAATCTCCAACTGGAAACTGCACAAATAGGCTGTTTCAAATCTGCTCTGTCTAAAGGAAGGTTCAGCTCTGTGAGTTGAATACACACACCACAAATAAGTTACTGAGAATTCTTCTGTCGAACATTACATGAAGAAATCCCGTTTCCAACGAAGGCCTCAAAGAGGTCCAAATATCCACTTGCAGACATTACAGAGTGTTTCCAAACTGCTCCATCAAAAGAAAGGTTAAACTCTGTGAGCTGAACACACACATCAAAAAGAAGTTTCTGTGAATGATTCTGACTAGATTTTATAAGAAGATATTTCCTTTTCTACCGTAGGCCTCAAAGCGCTTGAAATCTCCAGCTGCAAATTCCACAAAAAGGGTGTTTAACATCTGCTCTTCTAAAGGAAAGTTCAACTCTATGAGTTGAATACACACAGCATAAAGAAGTTACTGAGACTTCTCCTATCAAACATTATATGAAGAAATCCCGTTTCCAACGAAGGCCTCAAAGAGGTCCAAATATCTACTTGCAGACTTTACAGACAGAGTGTTTCCAAACTGCTCCATCAAAAGAAAGGTTAAACTCCTTGAGTTGAACACACACATCACAAAGTAGTTTCTGTGAATGATTCTGTCTAGTTTTTATACGAAGATGTTTCCTTTTCTACCTTTGGTCTCAAAGCGATTGAAATCTCCACATGGAAACTCCACAAAAAGAGTGTTTCAAATCTGCTCTTTCTGAAGGAAGGTTCATCTCTGTGAGTTGAATACACACACCACAAATAAGTTACTGAGAATTCTTCTGTGTAACATTATATGAGGAAATCCCGTTTCCAACGAAGGCCTCAAAGAGGTCCAAATATCCACTTGCAGACTTTACAAAGACAGTGTCTCCAAACTCCTCCATCAAAAGAAAGGTTATACTCTGTGAATTGAACGCACACATCACAAAGTAGTTTCTGAGAATGATTCTGACTAGTTTTTATACGAAGATATTTCCTTTTCTACATTTGGCCTAAAAGCACTTGAAATCTCCACCTGCAAATATCACAAAAAGAGGGTTTCACATCTGCTCTGTCTAAAGGACAGTTCACCTCTGTGAGTTGAATAGAGGCAACACATAGAACTTACTCAGTATTCTTCTTTCTAGCGTTCCATGAAGAAAACCCGTTTCCAACGAAGACCTCAAAGAGGTCCAAATATCTGCTTGCAGACTTTACAGACAGAGTGTTTCCAAACTACTTTATGAAAAGAAAGCTTAAACATCTTGAGTTGAACGCACACATCACAAAGTAGTTTCTGAGAATGATTCTGTCTAGTTTTTATACGAAGATGTTTCCTTTTCTACATTTGGTCTCAAAGCGATTGAAATCTCCAACTGGAAACTGCACAAATAGGCTGTTTCAAATCTGCTCTGTCTAAAGGAAGGTTCAACTCTGTGAGTTGAATACACACACCACAAATAAGTTACTGAGAATTCTTCTGTCGAACATTACAGGAAGAAATCCCGTTTCCAACGAAGGCCTCAAGGGGTCCAAATATCCACTTGCAGACATTACAAACAGTGTGTTTCCCAACTGCTCCATCAAAAGAAAGGTTAAACTCTGTGAGCTGAACACACACATCAAAAAGAAGTTTCTGTGAATGATTCTGTCTAGATTTTATAAGAAGATGTTTCCTTTTCTACCGTAGGCCTCAAAGCGCTTGAAATCTCCAGCTGCAAATTCCACAAAAAGGGTGATTAACATCTGCTCTTCTAAAGGAAAGTTCAACTCTATGAGTTGAATACACACAGCACAAAGAAGTTACTGAGACTTCTCCTATCAAACATTATATGAAGAAATCCCGTTTCCAACGAAGGCCTCAAAGAGGTCCAAATATCTGCTTGCAGACTTTACAGACAGAGTGTTTCCAAACTGCTCCATCAAAAGAAAGGTTAAACTCCTTGAGTTGAACATACACATCACAAAGTAGTTTCTGTGAATGATTCTGTCTAGTTTTTCTACGAAGATGTTTCCTTTTCTACCTTTGGTCTCAATGCGATTGAAATCTCCACATGGAAACTCCACAAAAAGAGTGTTTCAAATCTGCTCTTTCTGAAGGAAGGTTCATCTCTGTGAGTTGAATACACACACCACAAATAAGTTACTGAGAATTCTTCTGTGTAACATTATATGAGGAAATCCCGTTTCCAACGAAGGCCTCAAAGAGGTCCAAATATCCACTTGCAGACTTTACAAAGACAGTGTCTCCAAACTCTTCCATCAAAAGAAAGGTTATACTCTGTGAATTGAACGCACACATCACAAAGTAGTTTCTGAGAATGATTCTGTCTAGTTTTTATACGAAGATATTTCCTTTTCTACATTTGGCCTAAAAGCGCTTGAAATCTCCACCTGCAAATATCACAAAAAGAGGGTTTCACATCTGCTCTGTCTAAAGGACAGTTCACCTCTGTGAGTTGAATAGAGGCAACACAAAGAACTTACTCAGTATTCTTCTTTCCAGCGTTCTATGAAGAAATCCCTTTTCCAACGAAGGCCTCAAATAGGTCCAAATATCTGCTTGCAGACTTTACAGACAGAGTGTTTCCAAACTACTCTACGAAAAGAAAGCTTAAACTCCTTGAGTTGAACGCACACATCACAAAGTAGTTTCTGAGAATGATTCTGTCTAGTTTTTATACGAAGATGTTTCCTTTTCTACATTTGGTCTCAAAGCGATTGAAATCTCCAACTGGAAACTGCACAAATAGGGTGTTTCAAATCTGCTCTGTCTAAAGGAAGGTTCAACTCTGTGAGTTGAATACACACACCACAAATAAGTTACTGAGAATTCTTCTGTCGAACATTACAGGAAGAAATCCCGTTTCCAACGAAGGCCTCAAAGAGGTCCAAATATCCACTTGCAGACATTACAAACAGTGTGTTTCCCAACTGCTCCATCAAAAGAAAGGTTAAACTCTGTGAGCTGAACACACACATCAAAAAGAACTTTCTGTGAATGATTCTGTCTAGATTTTATAAGAAGATGTTTCCTTTTCTACCGTAGGCCTCAAAGCGCTTGAAATCTCCAGCTGCAAATTCCACAAAAAGGGTGTTTAACATCTGCTCTTCTAAAGGAAAGTTCAACTCTATGAGTTGAATACACACAGCACAAAGAAGTTACTGAGACTTCTCCTATCAAACATTATATGAAGAAATCCCGTTTCCAACGAAGGCCTCAAAGAGGTCCAAATATCTGCTTGCAGACTTTACAGACAGAGTTTTTCCAAACTGCTCCATCAAAAGAAAGGTTAAACTCCTTGAGTTGAACACACACATCACAAAGTAGTTTCTGTGAATGATTCTGTCTAGTTTTTATACGAAGATGTTTCCTTTTCTACCTTTGGTCTCAATGCGATTGAAATCTCCACATGGAAACTCCACAAAAAGAGTGTTTCAAATCTGCTCTTTCTGAAGGAAGGTTCAACTCTGTGAGTTGAATACACACACCACAAATAAGTTACTGAGAATTCTTCTGTGTAACATTATATGAGGAAATCCCGTTTCCAACGAAGGCCTCAAAGAGGTCCAAATATCCACTTGCAGACTTTACAAAGACAGTGTCTCCAAACTCCTCCATCAAAAGAAAGGTTATACTCTGTGAATTGAACGCACACATCACAAAGTAGTTTCTGAGAATGATTCTGTCTAGTTTTTATACGAAGATATTTCCTTTTCTACATTTGGCCTAAAATCGCTTGAAATCTCCACCTGCAAATATCACAAAAAGAGGGTTTCACATTTGCTCTGTCTAAAGGACAGTTCACCTCTGTGAGTTGAATAGAGGCAACACAAAGAACTTACTCAGTATTCTTCTTTCTAGCGTTCTATGAAGAAATCCCGTTTCCAACGAAGGCCTCAAAGAGGTCCAAATATCTGCTTGCAGACTTTACAGACAGAGTGTTTCCAAACTACTCTATGAAAAGAAAGCTTAAACTCCTTGAGTTAAACGCACACATCACAAAGTAGTTTCTGAGAATGATTGTGTCTAGTTTTTATACGAAGATGTTTCCTTTTCTACATTTGGTCTCAAAGCGATTGAAATCTCCAAGTGCAAACTGCACAAATAGGTTGTTTCAAATCTGCTCTGTCTAAAGGAAGGTTCAACTCTGTGAGTTGAATACACACACCACAAATAAGTTACTGAGAATTCTTCTGTCGAACATTACATGAAGAAATCCCGTTTCCAACGAAGGCCTCAAAGAGGTCCAAGTATCCACTTGCAGACATTACAGAGTGTTTCCAAACTGCTCCATCAAAAGAAAGGTTAAACTCTGTGAGCTGAACACACACATCGAAAAGAAGTTTCTGTGAATGATTCTGTCTAGATTTTATAAGAAGATGATTCCTTTTCTACCGTAGGCCTCAAAGCGCTTGAAATCTCCAGCTGCAAATTCCACAAAAAGGGTGTTTAACATCTGCTCTTCTAAAGGAAATTTCAACTCTATGAGTTGAATACACACAGCACAAAGAAGTTACTGAGACTCCTATCAAACATTATATGAAGAAATCCCGTTTCCAACGAAGGCCTCAAAGAGGTCCAAATATCTGCTTGCAGACTTTACAGACAGAGTGTTTCCAAACTGCTCCATCAAAAGAAAGGTTAAACTCCTTGAGTTGAACAGACACATCACAAAGTAGTTTCTGTGAATGATTCTGTCTAGTTGTTATACGAAGATGTTTCCTTTTCTACCTTTGGTCTCAAAGCGATTGAAATCTCCACATGGAAACTCCACAAAAAGAGTGTTTCAAATCTGCTCTTTCTGAAGGAAGGTTCATCTCTGTGAGTTGAATATACACACCACAAATAAGTTACTGAGAATTCTTCTGGGTAACATTATATGAGGAAATCCCGTTTCCAACGAAGGCCTCAAAGAGGTCCAAATATCCACTTGCAGACTTTACAAAGACAGTGTCTCCAAACTCCTCCATCAAAAGAAAGGTTATACTCTGTGAATTGAACGCACACATCACAAAGTAGTTTCTGAGAATGATTCTGTCTAGTTTTTATACGAAGATATTTCCTTTTCTACATTTGGCCTAAAAGCGCTTGAAATCTCCACCTGCAAATATCACAAAAAGAGGGTTTCACATCTGCTCTGTCTAAAGGACAGTTCACCTCTGTGAGTTGAATAGAGGCAACACAAAGAACTTACTCAGTATTCTTCTTTCTACCGTTCTATGAAGAAATCCCGTTTCCAACGAAGGCCTCAAAGAGGTCCAAATATCTGCTTGCAGACTTTACAGACAGAGTGTTTCCAAACTACTCTATGAAAAGAAAGCTTAAACTCCTTGAGTTGAACGCACACATCACAAAGTAGTTTCTGAGAATGATTCTGTCTAGTTTTTATACGAAGATGTTTCCTTTTCTACATTTGGTCTCAAAGCGATTGAAATCTCCAACTGGAAACTGCACAAATAGGCTGTTTCAAATCTGCTCTGTCTAAAGGAAGGTTCAGCTCTGTGAGTTGAATACACACAGCACAAATAAGTTACTGAGAATTCTTCTGTCGAACATTACTTGAAGAAATCCCGTTTCCAACGAAGGCCTCAAAGAGGTCCAAATATCCACTTGCAGACGTTACAAACAGAGTGTTTCCAAACTGCTCCATCAAAAGAAAGGTTAAACTCTGTGAGCTGAACACACACATCAAAAAGAAGTTTCTGTGAATGATTCTGTCTAGATTTTATAAGAAGATGTTTCCTTTTCTACCGTAGGCCTCAAAGCGCTTGAAATCTCCAGCTGCAAATTCCACAAAAAGGGTGTTTAACATCTGCTCTTCTAAAGGAAAGTTCAACTCTATGAGTTGAATACACACAGCACAAAGAAGTTACTGAGACTTCTCCTATCAAACATTATATGAAGAAATCCCGTTTCCAACGAAGGCCTCAAAGAGGTCCAAATATCTGCTTGCAGACTTTACAGACAGAGTGTTTCCAAACTGCTCCATCAAAAGAAAGGTTAAACTCCTTGAGTTGAACACACACATCACAAAGTAGTTTCTGTGAATGATTCTGTCTAGTTTTTATACGAAGATGTTTCCTTTTCTACCTTTGGTCTCAAAGCGATTGAAATCTCCACATGGAAACTCCACAAAAAGAGTGTTTCAAATCTGCTCTTTCTGAAGGAAGGTTCAACTACTGTGAGTTGAATACGCACACCACAAATAAGTTACTGAGAATTCTTCTGTGTAACATTATATGAGGAAATCCCGTTTCCAACGAAGGCCTCAAAGAGGTCCAAATATCCACTTGCAGACTTTACAAAGACAGTGTCTCCAAACTCCTCCATCAAAAGAAAGGTTATACTCTGTGAATTGAACGCACACATCACAAAGTAGTTTCTGAGAATGATTCTGTCTAGTTTTTATACGAAGATATTTCCTTTTCTACATTTGGCCTAAAAGCGCTTGAAATCTCCACCTGCAAATATCACAAAAAGAGGGTTTCACATCTGCTCTGTCTAAAGGACAGTTCACCTCTGTGAGTTGAATAGAGGCAACACAAAGAACTTACTCAGTATTCTTCTTTCTTGCGTTCTATGAAGAAATCCCGTTTCCAACGAAGGCCCCAAAGAGGTCCAAATATCTGCTTGCACACTTTACAGACAGAGTGTTTCCAAACTACTCTATGAAAAGAAAGCTTAAACTCCTTGAGTTGAACGCACACATCACAAAGTAGTTTCTGAGAATGATTCTGTCTAGTTTTTATACGAAGATGTTTCCTTTTCTACATTTGGTCTCAAAGCGATTGAAATCTCCAACTGGAAACTGCACAAATAGGGTGTTTCAAATCTGCTCTGTCTAAAGGAAGGTTCAACTCTGTGTGTTGAATACACACACCACAAATAAGTTACTGAGAATTCTTCTGTCGAACATTACTTGAAGAAATCCCGTTTCCAACGAAGGCCTCAAAGAGGTCCAAATATCCACTTGCAGACATTACAAACAGAGTGTTTCCAAACTGCTCCATCAAAAGAAAGGTTAAACTCTGTGAGCTGAACACACACATCAAAAAGAAGTTTCTGTGAATGATTCTGTCTAGATTTTATAAGAAGATGTTTCCTTTTCTACCGTAGGCCTCAAAGCGCTTGAAATCTCCAGCTGCAAATTCCACAAAAAGGGTGTTTAACATCTGCTCTTCTAAAGGAAAGTTCAACTCTATGAGTTGAATACACACAGCACAAAGAAGTTACTGAGACTTCTCCTATCAAACATTATATGAAGATATCCTGTTTCCAACGAAGGCCTCAAAGAGGTCCAAATATCTGCTTGCAGACTTTACAGACAGAGTTTTTCCACACTGCTCCATCAAAAGAAAGGTTAAACTCCTTGAGTTGAACACACACATCACAAAGTAGTTTCTGTGAATGATTCTGTCTAGTTTTTATACGAAGATGTTTCCTTTTCTACCTTTGGTCTCAAAGCCATTGAAATCTCCCCATGGAAACTCCACAAACAGAGTGTTTCAAATCTGCTTTTTCTGAAGGAAGGTTCAAATCTGTGAGTTGAATACACACACCACAAATAAGTTACTGAGAATTCTTCTGTGTAACATTATATGAGGAAATCCCGTTTCCAACGAAGGCCTCAAAGAAGTCCAAATATCCACTTGCAGACTTTACAAAGACAGTGTCTCCAAACACCTCCATCAAAAGAAAGGTTATACTCTGTGAATTGAACGCACACATCACAAAGTAGTTTCTGAGAGTGATTCTGTCTAGTTTTTATACGAAGATATTTCCTTTTCTACATTTGGCCTAAAAGCGCTTGAAATCTCCACCTGCAAATATCACAAAAAGAGGGTTTCACATCTGCTCTGTCTAAAGGACAGTTCACCTCTGTGAGTTGAATAGAGGCAACACAAAGAACTTACTCAGTATTCTTCATTCTAGCGTTCTATGAAGAAATCCCGTTTCCAACGAAGGCCCCAAAGAGGTCCAAATATCTGCTTGCAGACTTTACAGACAGAGTGTTTCCAAACTACTCTATGAAAAGAAAGCTTAAACTCCTTGAGTTGAACGCACACATCACAAAGTAGTTTCGGAGAATGATTCTGTCTAGTTTTTATACGAAGATGTTTCCTTTTCTACATTTGGTCTCAAAGCGATTGAAATCTCCAACTGGAAACTGCACAAATAGGGTGTTTCAAATCTGCTCTGTCTAAAGGAAGGTTCAACTCTGTGAGTTGAATACACACACCACAAATAAGTTACTGAGAATTCTTCTGTCGAACATTACAGGAAGAAATCCCGTTTCCAACGAAGGCCTCAAAGAGGTCCAAATATCCACTTGCAGACATTACAAACAGTGTGTTTCCCAACTGCTCCATCAAAAGAAAGGTTAAACTCTGTGAGCTGAACACACACATCAAAAAGAAGTTTCTGTGAATGATTCTGTCTAGATTTTATAAGAAGATGTTTCCTTTTCTACCGTAGGCCTCAAAGCGCTTGAAATCTCCAGCTGCAAATTCCACAAAAAGGGTGTTTAACATCTGCTCTTCTAAAGGAAAGTTCAACTCTATGAGTTGAATACACACAGCACAAAGAAGTTACTGAGACTTCTCCTATCAAACATTATATGAAGAAATCCCGTTTCCAACGAAGGCCTCAAAGAGGTCCAAATATCTGCTTGCAGACTTTACAGACAGAGTGTTTCCAAACTGCTCCATCAAAAGAAAGGTTAAACTCCTTGAGTTGAACACACACATCACAAAGTAGTTTCTGTGAATGATTCTGTCTAGTTTTTATACGAAGATGTTTCCTTTTCTACCTTTGGTCTCAATGCGATTGAAATCTCCACATGGAAACTCCACAAAAAGAGTGTTTCAAATCTGCTCTTTCTGAAGGAAGGTTCAACTCTGTGAGTTGAATACACACACCACAAATAAGTTACTGAGAATTCTTCTGTGTAACATTATATGAGGAAATCCCGTTTCCAACGAAGGCCTCAAAGAGGTCCAAATATCCACTTGCAGACTTTACAAAGACAGTGTCTCCAAACTCTTCCATCAAAGAAAGGATATACTCTGTGAATTGAACGCACACATCAGAAAGTAGTTTCTGAGAATGATTCTGTCTAGTTTTTATACGAAGATATTTCCTTTTCTACATTTGGCCTAAAAGCGCTTGAAATCTCCACCTGCAAATATCACAAAAAGAGGGTTTCACATCTGCTCTGTCTAAAGGACAGTTCACCTCTGTGAGTTGAATAGAGGCAACACAAAGAACTTACTCAGTATTCTTCTTTCTAGCGTTCTATGAAGAAATCCCGTTTCCAACGAAGGCCCCAAAGAGGTCCAAATATCTGCTTGCAGACTTTACAGACAGAGTGTTTCCAAACTACTCTATGAAAAGAAAGCTTAAACTCCTTGAGTTGAACGCACACATCACAAAGTAGTTTCTGAGAATGATTCTGTCTTGTTTTTATACGAAGATATTTCCGTTTCTATGATTGGCCTCAAACCATTGAAATCTCCAACTGGAAACTGCACAAATAGGGTGTTTCAAATCTGCTCTGTCTAAAGGAAGGTTCAACTCTGTGAGTTGAATACACACACGACAAATAAGTTACTGAGAATTCTTCTGTCGAATATTACATGAAGAAATCCCGTTTCCAACGAAGGCCTCAAAGAGGTCCCAATATCCACTTGCAGACATTACAAACAGAGTGTTTCCAAAATGCTCCATCAAAAGAAAGGTTAAACTCTGTGAGCTGAACACACACATCAAAAAGAAGTTTCTGTGAATGATTCTGTCTAGATTTTATAAGAAGATGTTTCCTTTTCTACCGTAGGCCTCAAAGCGCTTGAAATCTCCAGCTGCAAATTCCACAAAAAGGGTGTTTAACATCTGCTCTTCTAAAGGAAAGTTCAACTCTATGAGTTGAATACACACAGCACAAAGAAGTTACTGAGACTTCTCCTATCAAACATTATATGAAGAAATCCCGTTTCCAACGAAGGCCTCAAAGAGGTCCAAATATCTGCTTGCAGACTTTACAGACAGAGTGTTTCCAAACTGCTCCATCAAAAGAAAGGTTAAACTCCTTGAGTTGAACACACACATCACAAAGTAGTTTCTGTGAATGATTCTGTCTAGTTGTTATACGAAGATGTTTCCTTTTCTACCTTTGGTCTCAAAGCGATTGAAATCTCCACATGGAAACTCCACAAAAAGAGGGTTTCAAATCTGCTCTTTCTGAAGGAAGGTTCATCTCTGTGAGTTGAATACACACACCACAAATAAGTTACTGAGAATTCTTCTGTGTAACATTCTATGAGGAAATCGCGTTTCCAACGAAGGCCTCAAAGAGTCCAAATATCCACTTGCAGACTTTTCAAAGACCGTGTCTCCAAACTCCTCCCTCAAAAGAAAGGTTTTACTCTGTGAATTGAACGCACACATCACAAAGTAGTTTCTGAGAATGATTCTGTCTAGTTTTTATACGAAGATATTTCCTTTTCTACATTTGGCCTAAAAGCGCTTGAAATCTCCACCTGCAAATATCACAAAAAGAGGGTTTCACATCTGCTCTGTCTAAAGGACAGTTCACCTCTGTGAGTTGAATAGAGGCAACACAAAGAACTTACTCAGTATTCTTCTTTCTAGCATTCTATGAAGAAATCCCGTTTCCAACGAAGGCCTCAAAGAGGTCAAATATCTGCTTGCAGACTTTACAGACAGAGTGTTTCCAAACTACTCTATGAAAAGAAAGCTTAAACTCCTTGAGTTGAACGCACACATCACAAAGTAGTTTCTGAGAATGATTCTGTCTAGTTTTTATACGAAGATGTTTCCTTTTCTACATTTGGTCTCAAAGCGATTGAAATCTCCAACTGGAAACTGCACAAATAGGGTGTTTCAAATCTGCTCTGTCTAAAGGAAGGTTCAACTCTGTGAGTTGAATACACACACCACAAATAAGTTACTGAGAATTCTTCTCTCGAACATTACATGAAGAAATCCCGTTTCCAACGAAGGCCTCAAAGAGGTCCAAATATCCAGTTGCCGACAATGCAAACATAGTGTTTGCAAACTGCTCCATCAAAAGAAAGCTTAAACTCTGTGAGATGAACACTAACATCAAAAAGAAGTTTCTGTGAATGATTCTGTCTAGATTTTATAAGAAGATGTTTCCTTTTCTACCACAGGCCTCAAAGTGCTAGAAATCTCCAGCTGCAAATTCCACAAAAAGTGTGTTTAACATCTGCTCTGTCTAAAGTAAAGTTCAGCTCTGTGAGTTGAATACACACAGCACAAAGAAGTTACTGAGACTTCTTCTGTCTAACATTATATGAATAAATCCCGTTTCCAACGAAGGCCTCAAAGAGGTCCAAATATCCACTTGCAGACTTGCCAAACAGAGTGTTTCCAAACTGCACCATCAAAAGAAAGGTTAAACTCTGTGAGCTGAACACACACATCACAAAGTAGTTTCTGTGAATGATTCTGTCTAGATTTTATAAGATGTTTCCTTTTCTACCGTAGGCCTCAAAGCGCTGGAAATCTCCAGCTGCAAATTCCACAAAAAGGGTGTTTAACATCTGCTCTTCTAAAGGAAAGTTCAACTCTATGAGTTGAATACACACAGCACAAAGAAGTTACTGAGACTTCTCCTATCAAACATTATATGAAGAAATCCCGTTTCCAACGAAGGCCTCAAAGAGGTCCAAATATCTGCTTGCAGACCTTACAGACAGAGGGTTTCCAAACTGCTCCATCAAAAGAAAGGTTAACCTCCTTGAGTTGAACACACACATCACAAAGTAGTTTCTGTGAATGATTCTGTCTAGTTTTTATACGAAGATGTTTCCTTTTCTACCTTTGGTCTCAAAGCGATTGAAGTCTCCACATGGAAACTCGACAAAAAGAGTGTTTCAAATCTGCTCTTTCTGAAGGAAGGTTCAACTCTGTGAGTTGAATACACACACCACAAATAAGTTACTGAGAATTCTTCTGTGTAACATTATATGAGGAAATCCCGTTTCCAACGAAGGCCTCAAAGAGGTCCAAATATCCACTTGCAGACTTTACAAAGACAGTGTCTCCAAACTCCTCCATCAAAAGAAAGGTTATACTCTGTGAATTGAACGCACACATCACAAAGTAGTTTGCTGAGAATGATTCTGTCTAGTTTTTATACGAAGGATATTTCCTTTTCTACATTTGGCCTAAAAGCGCTTGAAATCTCCACCTGCAAATATCACAAAAAGAGGGTTTCACATCTGCTCTATCTAAAGGAGAGTTCACCTCTGTGAGTTGAATAGAGGCAACACAAAGAACTTACTCAGTATTCTTCTTTCTAGCGTTCTATGAAGAAATCCCGTTTCCAACGAAGGCCTCAAAGAGGTCAAATATCTGCTTGCAGACTTTACAGACAGAGTGTTTCCAAACTACTCTATGAAAAGAAAGCTTAAACTCCTTGAGTTGAACGCACACATCACAAAGTAGTTTCTGAGAATGATTCTGTCTAGTTTTTATACGAAGATGTTTCCTTTTCTACATTTGGTCTCAAAGCGATTGAAATCTCCAACTGGAAACTGCACAAATAGGGTGTTTCAAATCTGCTCTGTCTAAAGGAAGGTTCAACTCTGTGAGTTGAATACACACACCACAAATAAGTTACTGAGAATTCTTCTGTCGAACATTACTTGAAGAAATCCCGTTTCCAACGAAGGCCTCAAAGAGGTCCAAATATCCACTTGCAGACATTACAAACAGAGTGTTTCCAAACTGCTCCATCAAAAGAAAGGTTAAACTCTGTGAGCTGAACACACATATCAAAAAGAAGTTTCTGTGAATGATTCTGTCTAGATTTTATAAGAAGATGTTTCCTTTTCTACCGTAGGCCTCAAAGCGCTTGAAATCTCCACCTGCAAATTCCACAAAAAGGGTGTTTAACATCTGCTCTTCTAAAGGAAAGTTCAACTCTATGCATTGAATACACACAGCACAAAGAAGTTACTGAGACTTCTTCTTTCTAGCATTCTGTGAAGAAATCCCGTTTCCAACGAAGGCCCCAAAGAGGTCCAAATATCTGCTTGCAGACTTTACAGACAGAGTTTTTCCAAACTGCTCCATCAAAAGAAAGGTTAAACTCCTTGAGTTGAACACACACATCACAAAGTAGTTTCTGTGAATGATTCTGTCTAGTTTTTATACGAAGATGTTTCCTTTTCTACCTTTGGTCTCAAAGCGATTGAAATCTCCACATGGAAACTCCACAAAAAGAGTGTTTCAAATCTGCTCTTTCTGAAGGAAGGTTCATCTCTGTGAGTTGAATACACACACCACAAATAAGTTACTGAGAATTCTTCTGTGTAACATTATATGAGGAAATCCCGTTTCCAACGAAGGCCTCAAAGAGGTCCAAATATCCACTTGCAGACTTTACAAAGACAGTGTCTCCAAACTCCTCCATCAAAAGAAAGGTTATACTCTGTGAATTGAACGCACACATCACAAAGTAGTTTCTGAGAATGATTCTGTCTAGTTTTTATACGAAGATATTTCCTTTTCTACATTTGGCCTAAAAGCGCTTGAAATCTCCACCTGCAAATATCACAAAAAGAGGGTTTCACATCTGCTCTGTCTAAAGGACAGTTCACCTCTGTGAGTTGAATAGAGGCAACACAAAGAACTTACTCAGTATTCTTCTTTCTAGCGTTCTATGAAGAAATCCCGTTTCCAACGAAGACCCCAATGAGGTCCAAATATCTGCTTGCTGACTTTACAGACAGAGTGTTTCCAAACTACTCTATGAAAAGAAAGCTTAAACTCCTTGAATTGAACGCACATAACACAAAGTAGTTTCTGAGAATGATTCTGTCTAGTTTTTATACGAAGATGTTTCCTTTTCTACATTTGGTCTCAAAGCGATTGAAATCTCCAACTGGAAACTGCACAAATAGGGTGTTTCAAATCTGCTCTGTGTAAAGGAAGGTTCAACTCTGTGAGTTGAATACACACACCACAAATAAGTTACTGAGAATTCTTCTGTCGAACATTACTTGAAGAAATCCCGTTTCCAACGAAGGCCTCAAAGACGTCCAAATATCCACTTGCAGACATTACAAACAGAGTGTTTCCAAACTGCTCCATCAAAAGAAAGGTTAAACTCTGTGAGCTGAACACACACATCAAAAAGAAGTTTCTGTGAATGATTCTGTCTAGATTTTATAAGAAGATGTTTCCTTTTCTACCGTAGGCCTCAAAGCGCTTGAAATCTCCAGCTGCAAATTCCACAAAAAGGGTGTTTAACATCTGCTCTTCTAAAGGAAAGTTCAACTCTATGAGTTGAATACACACAGCACAAAGAAGTTACTGAGACTTGTCCTATCAAACATTATATGAAGAAATCCCGTTTCCAACGAAGGCCTCAAAGAGGTCCAAATATCTACTTGCAGACTTTACAGACAGAGTGTTTCCAAACTGCTCCATCAAAAGAAAGGTTAAACTCCTTGAGTTGAACACACACATCACAAAGTAGTTTCTGTGAATGATTCTGTCTAGTTTTTATACGAAGATGTTTCCTTTTCTACCTTTGGTCTCAAAGCGATTGAAATCTCCACATGGAAACTCCACAAAAAGAGTGTTTCAAATCTGCTCTTTCTGAAGGAAGGTTCAACTCTGTGAGTTGAATACACACACCACAAATAAGTTACTGAGAATTCTTCTGGGTAACATTATATGAGGAAATCCCGTTTCCAACGAAGGCCTCAAAGAGGTCCAAATATCCACTTGCAGACTTTACAAAGACAGTGTCTCCAAACTCCTCCATCAAAAGAAAGGTTATACTCTGTGAATTGAACGCACACATCACAAAGTAGTTTCTGAGAATGATTCTGTCTAGTTTTTATACGAAGATATTTCCTTTTCTACATTTGGCCTAAAAGCGCTTGAAATCTCCACCTGCAAATATCACAAAAAGAGGGTTTCACATCTGCTCTGTCTAAAGGACAGTTCACCTCTGTGAGTTGAATAGAGGCAACACAAAGAACGTACTCAGTATTCTTCTTTCTAGCGTTCTATGAAGAAATCCCGTTTCCAACGAAGGCCTCAAAGAGGTCAAATATCTGCTTGCAGACTTTACAGACAGAGTGTTTCCAAACTACTCTATGAAAAGAAAGCTTAAACTCCTTGAGTTGAACGCACACATCACAAAGTAGTTTCTGAGAATGATTCTGTCTAGTTTTTATACGAAGATGTTTCCTTTTCTACATTTGGTCTCAAAGCGATTGAAATCTCCAACTGGAAACTGCACAAATAGGGAGTTTCAAATCTGCTCTGTCTAAAGGAAGGTTCAACTCTGTGAGTTGAATACACACACCACAAATAAGTTACTGAGAATTCTTCTGTCGAACATTACATGAAGAAATCCCTTTCCCAACGAAGGCCTCAAAGAGGTCCAAATATCCACTTGCAGACATTACAAACAGAGTGTTTCCAAACTGCTCCATCAAAAGAAAGGTTAAACTCTGTGAGCTGAACACACACATCAAAAAGAAGTTTGCTGTGAATGATTCTGTCAAGATTTTATAAGATGTTTCCATTTCTACCGTAGGACTCAAAGCGCTTGAAATCTCCAGCTGCAAATTCCACAAAAAGGGTGTTTAACATCTGCTCTTCTAAAGGAAAGTTCAACTCTATGAGTTGAATACACACAGCACAAAGAAGTTACTGAGACTTCTCCTATCAAACATTATATGAAGAAATCCCGTTTCCAACGAAGGCCTCAAAGAGGTCCAAATATCTGCTTGCAGACTTTAAAGACAGAGTTTTTCCAAACTGCTCCATCAAAAGAAAGGTTAAACTCCTTGAGTTGAAAACACCCATCACAAAGTAGTTTCTGTGAATGATTCTGTCTAGTTTTTATACGAAGATGTTTCCTTTTCTACCTTTGGTCTCAAAGCGATTGAAATCTCCACATGGAAACTCCACAAAAAGAGTGTTTCAAATCTGCTCTTTCTGAAGGAAGGTTCAACTCTGTGAGTTGAATACACACACCACAAATAAGTTACTGAGAATTCTTCTGTGTAACATTATATGAGGAAATCCCGTTTCCAACGAAGGCCTCAAAGAGGTCCAAATATCCACTTGCAGACTTTACAAAGACAGTGTCTCCAAACTCCTCCATCAAAAGAAAGGTTATAGTCTGTGAATTGAACGCACACATCACAAAGTAGTTTCTGAGAATGATTCTGTCTAGTTTTTATACGAAGATATTTCCTTTTCTACATTTGGCCTAAAAGCGCTTGAAATCTCCACCTGCAAATATCACAAAAAGAGGGTTTCACATCTGCTCTGTCTAAAGGACAGTTCACCTCTGTGAGTTGAATAGAGGCAACAAAAAGAAGTTACTGAGTATTCTTCTTTCTAGCGTTCTATGAAGAAATCCCCTTTCCAACGAAGACCCCAAAGACGTCCAAATATCTGCTTGCAGACTTTACAGACAGAGTTTTTCCAAACTGCTCCATCAAAAGAAAGGTTAAACTCCTTGAGTTGAACACACACATCACAAAGTAGTATCTGTGAATGATTCTGTCTAGTTTTTATACGAAGATGTTTCCTTTTCTACATTTGGTCTCAAAGCGATTGAAATCTCCAACTGGAAACTGCACAAATAGGGTGTTTCAAATCTGCTCTGTCTAAAGGAAGGTTCAACTCTGTGAGTTGAATACACACACCACAAATAAGTTACTGAGAATTCTTCTGTCGAACATTACTTGAAGAAATCCCGTTTCCAAAGAAGGCCTCAAAGAGGTCCAAATATCCACTTGCAGACATTACAAACAGAGTGTTTCCAAACTGCTCCATCAAAAGAAAGGTTAAACTCTGTGAGCTGAACACACACATCAAAAAGAAGTTTCTGTGAATGATTCTGTCTAGATTTTATAAGAAGATGTTTCCTTTTCTACCGTAGGCCTCAAAGCGCTTGAAATCTCCAGCTGCAAATTCCACAAAAAGGGTGTTTAACATCTGCTCTTCTAAAGGAAAGTTCAACTCTATGAGTTGAATACACACAGCACAAAGAAGTTACTGAGACTTCTCCTATCAAACATTATATGAAGAAATCCCGTTTCCAACGAAGGCCTCAAAGAGGTCCAAATATCTGCTTGCAGACTTTACAGACAGAGTGTTTCCAAACTGCTCCATCAAAAGAAAGGTTAAACTCCTTGAGTTGAACACACACATCACAAAGTAGTTTCTGTGAATGATTCTGTCTAGTTTTTATACGAAGATGTTTCCTTTTCTACCTTTGGTCTCAATGCGATTGAAATCTCCACATGGAAACTCCACAAAAAGAGTGTTTCAAATCTGCTCTTTCTGAAGGAAGGTTCAACTCTGTGAGTTGAATACACACACCACAAATAAGTTACTGAGAATTCTTCTGGGTAACATTATATGAGGAAATCCCGTTTCCAACGAAGGCCTCAAAGAGGTCCAAATATCCACTTGCAGACTTTACAAAGACAGTGTCTCCAAACTCCTCCATCAAAAGAAAGGTTATACTCTGTGAATTGAACGCACACATCACAAAGTAGTTTCTGAGAATGATTCTGTCTAGTTTTTATATGAAGATATTTCTTTTTCTACATTTGGCCTAAAAGCGCTTGAAATCTCCACCTGCAAATATCACAAAAAGAGGGTTTCACATCTGCTCTGTCTAAAGGACAGTTCACCTCTGTGAGTTGAATAGAGGGAACACAAAGAACTTACTCAGTATTCTTCTTTCTAGCGTTATATGAAGAAATCCCGTTTCCAACGAAGGCCTCAAAGAGGTCCAAATATCTGCTTGCAGACTTTACAGACAGAGTGTTTCCAAACTACTCTATGAAAAGAAAGCTTAAACTCCTTGAGTTGAACGCACACATCACAAAGTAGTTTCTGAGAATGATTCTGTCTAGTTTTTATACAAAGATGTTTCCTTTTCTACATTTGGTCTCAAAGCGATTGAAATCTCCAACTGGAAACTGCACAAATAGGGTGTTTCAAATCTGCTCTGTCTAAAGGAAGGTTCAACTCTGTGAGTTGAATACACACACCACAAATAAGTTACTGAGAATTCTTCTGTCGAACTTTACAGGAAGAAATCCCGTTTCCAACGAAGGCCTCAAAGAGGTCCAAATATCCACTTGCAGACATTACAAACAGTGTGTTTCCCAACTGCTCCATCAAAAGAAAGGTTAAACTCTGTGAGCTGAACACACTCATCAAAAAGAAGTTTCTGTGAATGATTCTGTCTAGATTTTATAAGAAGATGTTTCCTTTTCTACCGTAGGCCTCAAAGCGCTTGAAATCTCCAGCTGCAAATTCCACAAAAAGGGTGTTTAACATCTGCTCTTCTAAAGGAAAGTTCAACTCTATGAGTTGAATACACACAGCACAAAGAAGTTACTGAGACTTCTCCTATCAAACATTATATGAAGAAATCCCGTTTCCAACGAAGGCCTCAAAGAGGTCCAAATATCTGCTTGCAGACTTTACAGACAGAGTGTTTCCAAACTGCTCCATCAAAAGAAAGGTTAAACTCCTTGAGTTGAACACACACATCACAAAGTAGTTTCTGTGAATGATTCTGTCTAGTTGTTATACGAAGATGTTTCCTTTTCTACCTTTGGTCTCAAAGCGATTGAAATCTCCACATGGAAACTCCACAAAAAGAGTGTTTCAAATCTGCTCTTTCTGAAGGAAGGTTCATCTCTGTGAGTTGAATACACACACCACAAATAAGTTACTGAGAATTCTTTCTTTCTAGCATTCTATGAAGAAATCCCGTTTCCAACGAAGGCCCCAAAGAGGTCCAAATATCTGCTTGCAGACTTTACAAAGACAGTGTCTCCAAACTCCTCCGTCAAAAGAAAGGTTATACTCTGTGAATTGAACGCACACATCACAAAGTAGTTTCTGAGAATGATTCTGTCTAGTTTTTATACGAAGATATTTCCTTTTCTACATTTGGCCTAAAAGCGCTTGAAATCTCCACCTGCAAATATCACAAAAAGAGGGTTTCACATCTGCTCTGTCTAAAGGACAGTTCACCTCTGTGAGTTGAATAGAGGCAACACAAAGAACTTACTCAGTATTCTTCTTTCTAGCGTTCTATGAAGAAATCACGTTTCCAACGAAGGCCCCAAAGAGGTCCAAATATCTGCTTGCAGACTTTACAGACAGAGTGTTTCCAAACTACTCTATGAAAAGAAAGCTGAAACTTCTTGAGTTGAACGCACACATCACAAAGTAGTTTCTGAGAATGATTCTGTCTAGTTTTTATACGAAGATGTTTCCTTTTCTACATTTGGTCCCAAAGCGATTGAAATCTCCAACTGGAAACTGCACAAATAGGGTGTTTCAAATCTGCTCTGTCTAAAGGAAGGTTCAACTCTTTGAGTTGAATACACACACCACAAATAAGTTACTGAGAATTCTTCTGTCGAACATTACATGAAGAATTCCCGTTTCCAACGAAGGCCTCAAAGAGGTCCAAATATCCACTTGCAGGCATTACAAACAGAGTGTTTCCAAACTGCTCCATCAAAAGAAAGGTTAAACTCTGTGAGCTGAACACACACATCAAAAAGAAGTTTCTGTGAATGATTCTGTCTAGATTTTATAAGAAGATGTTTCCTTTTCTACCGTAGGCCTCAAAGCGCTTGAAATCTCCAGCTGCAAATTCCACAAAAAGGGTGTTTAACATCTGCTCTTCTAAAGGAAAGTTCAACTCTATGAGTTGAATACACACAGCACAAAGAAGTTACTGAGACTTCTCCTATCAAACATTATATGAAGAAATCCCGTTTCCAACGAAGGCCTCAAAGAGGTCCAAATATCTACTTGCAGACTTTACAGACAGAGTGTTTCCAAACTGCTCCATCAAAAGAAAGGTTAAACTCCTTGAGTTGAACACACACATCACAAAGTAGTTTCTGTGAATGATTCTGTCTAGTTGTTATACGAAGATGTTTCCTTTTCTACCTTTGGTCTCAAAGCGATTGAAATCTCCACATGGAAACTCCACAAAAAGAGTGTTTCAAATCTGCTCTTTCTGAAGGAAGGTTCATCTCTGTGAGTTGAATACACACACCACAAATAAGTTACTGAGAATTCTTCTGTGTAACATTATATGAGGAAATCCCGTTTCCAACGAAGGCCTCAAAGAGGTCCAAATATCCACTTGCAGACTTTACAAAGACAGTGTCTCCAAACTCCTCCATCAAAAGAAAGGTTATACTCCGTGAATTGAACGCACACATCACAAAGTAGTTTCTGAGAATGATTCTGTCTAGTTTTTATACGAAGATATTTCCTTTTCTACATTTGGCCTAAAAGCGCTTGAAATCTCCACCTGCAAATATCACAAAAAGAGGGTTTCACATCTGCTCTGTCTAAAGGACAGTTCACCTCTGTGAGTTGAATAGAGGCAACACAAAGAACTTACTCAGTATTCTTCTTTCTAGCGTTCTATGAAGAAATCCCGTTTCCAACGAAGGCCCCAAAGAGGTCCAAATATCTGCTTGCAGACTTTACAGACAGAGTGTTTCCAAACTACTCTATGAAAAGAAAGCTTAAACTCCTTGAGTTGAACGCACACATCACAAAGTAGTTTCTGAGAATGATTCTGTCTAGTTTTTATACGAAGATGTTTCCCTTTCTACATTTGGTCTCAAAGCGATTGAAATCTCCAACTGGAAACTGCACAAATAGGCTGTTTCAAATCTGCTCTGTCTAAAGGAAGGTTCAACTCTGTGAGTTGAATACACACACCACAAATAAGTTACTGAGAATTCTTCTGTCGAACATTAGAGGAAGAAATCCCGTTTCCAACGAAGGCCTCAAAGAGGTCCAAATATCCACTTGCAGACATTACAAACAGTGTGTTTCCCAACTGCTCCATCAAAAGAAAGGTTAAACTCTGTGAGCTGAACACACACATCAAAAAGAAGTTTCTGTGAATGATTCTGTCTAGATTTTATACGAAGATGTTTCCTTTTCTACCATAGGCCTCAAAGCGCTAGAAATCTCCAGCTGCAAATTCCACAAAAATTGTGTTTAACATCTGCTCGGTCTAAAGTAAAGTTCAGCTCTGTGAGTTGAATACACACAGCACAAAGAAGTTACTGAGACTTCTCCTATCAAACATTATATGAAGAAATCCCGTTTCCAACGAAGGCCTCAAAGAGGTGCAAATATCTGCTTGCAGACTTTACAGACAGTGTGTTTCCAAACTGCTCCATCAAAAGAAAGGTTAAACTCCTTGAGTTGAACACACACATCACAAAGTAGTTTCTGTGAATGATTCTGTCTAGTTTTTATACGAAGATGTTTCCTTTTCTACCTTTGGTCTCAATGCGATTGAAATCTCCACATGGAAACTCCACAAAAAGAGTGTTTCAAATCTGCTCTTTCTGAAGGAAGGTTCATCTCTGTGAGTTGAATACACACACCACAAATAAGTTACTGAGAATTCTTCTTTCTAGCATTCTATGAAGAAATCCCGTTTCCAACGAAGGCCCCAAAGAGGTCCAAATATCTGCTTGCAGACTTTACAAAGACAGTGTCTCCAAACTCCTCCGTCAAAAGAAAGGTTATACTCTGTGAATTGAACGCACACATCACAAAGTAGTTTCTGAGAATGATTCTGTCTAGTTTTTATACGAAGATATTTCCTTTTTTATATATGGCCTAAAAGCGCTTGAAATCTCCACCTGCAAATATCACAAAAAGAGGGTTTCACATCTGCTCTGTCTAAAGGACAGTTCACCTCTGTGAGTTGGATAGAGGCAACACAAAGAACTTACTCAGTATTCTTCTTTCTAGCGTTCTATGAAGAAATCCCGTTTCCAACGAAGGCCCCAATGAGGTCCAAATATCTGCTTGCAGACTTTACAGACAGAGTGTTTCCAAACTACTCTATGAAAAGAAAGCTTAAACTCCTTGAGTTGAACGCACACATCACAAAGTAGTTTCTGAGAATGATTCTGTCCAGTTTTTATACGAAGATGTTTCCTTTTCTACATTTGGTCTCAAAGCGATTGAAATCTCCAACTGGAAACTGCACAAATAGGGTGTTTCAAATCTGCTCTGTCTAAAGGAAGGTTCAACTCTGTGAGTTGAATACACACACCACAAATAAGTTACTGAGAATTCTTGTGTCGAACATTACTTGAAGAAATCCCGTTTCCAACGAAGGCCTCAAAGAGGTCCAAATATTCACTTGCAGATATTACAAACAGAGTGTTTCCAAACTGCTCCATCAAAAGAAAGGTTAAACTCTGTGAGCTGAACACACACATCAAAAAGAAGTTTCTGTGAATGATTCTGTCTAGATTTTATAAGAAGATGTTTCCTTTTCTACCGTAGGCCTCAAAGCGCTTGAAATCTCCAGCTGCAAATTCCACAAAAAGGGTGTTTAACATCTGCTCTTCTAAAGGAAAGTTCAACTCTATGAGTTGAATACACACAGCACAAAGAAGTTGCTGAGACTTCTCCTATCAAACATTATATGAAGAAATCCCGTTTCCAACGAAGGCCTCAAAGAGGTCCAAATATCTGCTTGCAGACTTTACAGACAGAGTGTTTCCAAACTGCTTCATCAAAAGAAAGGTTAAACTCCTTGAGTTGAACACACACATCACAAAGTAGTTTCTGTGAATGATTCTGTCTAGTTGTTATACGAAGATGTTTCCTTTTCTACCTTTGGTCTCAAAGCGATTGAAATCTCAACATGGAAACTCCACAAAAAGAGTGTTTCAAATCTGCTCTTTCTGAAGGAAGGTTCATCTCTGTGAGTTGAATACACACACCACAAATAAGTTACTGAGAATTCTTCTGTGTAACATTATATGAGGAAATCCCGTTTCCAACGAAGGCCTCAAAGAGCTCCAAATATCCACTTGCAGACTTTACAAAGACAGTGTCTCCAAACTCCTCCATCAAAAGAAAGGTTATACTCTGTGAATTGAACGCACACATCACAAAGTAGTTTCTGAGAATGATTCTGTCTAGTTTTTATACGAAGATATTTCCTTTTCTACATTTGGCCTCAAAGCGCTTGAAATCTCCACCTGCAAATATCACAAAAAGAGGGTTTCACATCTGCTCTGTCTAAAGGACAGTTCACCTCTGTGAGTTGAATAGAGGCAACACAAAGAACTTACTCAGTATTCTTCTTTCTAGCGTTATATGAAGAAATCCCGTTTCCAACGAAGGCCTCAAAGAGGTCCAAATATCTGCTTGCAGACTTTACAGACAGAGTGTTTCCAAACTACTCTATGAAAAGAAAGCTTAAACTCCTTGAGTTGAACGCACACATCACAAAGAAGTTTCTGAGAATGATTCTGTCTAGTTTTTATACGAAGATGTTTCCTTTTCTACATTTGGTTTCAAAGCGATTGGAATCTCCAACTGGAAACTGCACAAATAGGGTGTTTCAAATCTGCTCTGTCTAAAGGAAGGTTCAACTCTGTGAGTTGAATACACACACCACAAATAAGTTACTGAGAATTCTTCTGTCGAACATTACATGAAGAAATCCCGTTTCCAACGAAGACCTCAAAGAGGTCCAAATATCCACTTGCAGACATTACAAACAGTGTGTTTCCAAACTGCTCCAACAAAAGAAAGGTTAAACACTGTGAGCTGAACACACACATCAAAAAGAAGTTTCTGTGAATGATTCTGTCTAGATTTTATAAGAAGATGTTTCCTTTTCTACCGTAGGCCTCAAAGCGCTTCAAATCTCCAGCTGCAAATTCCTCAAAAAGGGTGTTTAACATCTGCTCTTCTAAAGGAAAGTTCAACTCTATGAGTTGAATACACACAGCACAAAGAAGTTACTGAGACTTCTTCTTTCTAGCATTCTATGAAGAAATCCCGTTTCCAACGAAGGCCTCAAAGAGGTCCAAATATCTGCTTGCAGACTTTACAGACAGAGTGTTTCCAAACTGCTCCATCAAAAGAAAGGTTAAACTCCTTGAGTTGAACACACACATCACAAAGTAGTTTCTGTGAATGATTCTGTCTAGTTTTTATACGAAGATGTTTCCTTTTCTACCTTTGGTCTCAAAGCGATTGAAATCTCCACATGGAAACTCCACAAAAAGAGTGTTTCAAATCTGCTCTTTCTGAAGGAAGGTTCAACTCTGTGAGTTGAATACACACACCACAAATAAGTTACTGAGAATTCTTCTGTGTAACATTATATGAGGAAATCCCGTTTCCAACGAAGGCCTCAAAGAGGTCCAAATATCCACTTGCAGACTTTACAAAGACAGTGTCTCCAAACTCCTCCATCAAAAGAAAGGTTATACTCTGTGAATTGAACGCACACATCACAAAGTAGTTTGCTGAGAATGATTCTGTCTAGTTTTTATACGAAGATATTTCCTTTTCTACATTTGGCCTAAAAGCGCTTGAAATCTCCACCTGCAAATATCACAAAAAGAGGGTTTCACATCTGCTCTGTCTAAAGGACAGTTCACCTCTGTGAGTTGAATAGAGGCAACACAAAGAACTTACTGAGTATTCTTCTTTCTAGCGTTCTATGAAGAAATCCCGTTTCCAACGAAGGCCCCAAAGAGGTCCAAATATCTGCTTGCAGACTTTACAGACAGAGTGTTTCCAAACTACTCTATGAAAAGAAAGCTTAAACTCCTTGAGTTGAACGCACACATCACAAATTAGTTTCTGAGAATGATGCTGTCTAGTTTTTATACGAAGATGTTTCCTTTTCTACATTTGGTCTCAAAGCGATTGAAATCTCCAACTGGAAACTGCACAAATAGGGTGTTTCAAATCTGCTCTGTCTAAAGGAAGGTTCAACTCAGGGAGTTGAATACACACACCACAAATAAGTTACTGAGAATTCTTCTGTCGAACATTACTTGAAGAAATCCCGTTTCCAACGAAGGCCTCAAAGAGGTCCAAATATCCACTTGCAGACATTACAAACAGAGTGTTTCCAAACTGCTCCATCAAAAGAAAGGTTAAACTCTGTGAGCTGAACACACACATCAAAAAGAAGTTTCTGTGAATGATTCTGTCTAGATTTTATAAGAAGATGTTTCCTTTTCTACCGTAGGCCTCAAAGCGCTTGAAATCTCCAGCTGCAAATTCCACAAAAAGGGTGTTTAACATCTGCTCTTCTAAAGGAAAGTTCAACTCTATGAGTTGAATACACACAGCACAAAGAAGTTACTGAGACTTCTCCTATCAAACATTATATGAAGAAATCCCGTTTCCAACGAAGGCCTCAAAGAGGTCCAAATATCTGCTTGCAGACTTTACAGACAGAGTGTTTCCAAACTGCTCCATCAAAAGAAAGGTTAAACTCCTTGAGTTGAACACACACATCACAAAGTAGTTTCTGTGAATGATTCTGTCTAGTTGTTATACGAAGATGTTTCCTTTTCTACCTTTGGTCTCAAAGCGATTGAAATCTCCACATGGAAACTCCACAAAAAGAGTGTTTCAAATCTGCTCTTTCTGAAGGAAGGTTCATCTCTGTGAGTTGAATACACACACCACAAATAAGTTACTGAGAATTCTTCTGTGTAACATTATATGAGGAAATCCCGTTTCCAACGAAGGCCTCAAAGAGGTCCAAATATCCACTTGCAGACTTTACAAAGACAGTGTCTCCAAACTCCTCCATCAAAAGAAAGGTTATACTCTGTGAATTGAACGCACACATCACAAAGTAGTTTCTGAGAATGATTCTGTCTAGTTTTTATACGAAGATATTTCCTTTTCTACATTTGGCCTGAAAGCGCTTGAAATCTCCACGTGCAAATATCACAAAAACAGGGTTTCACATCTGCTCTGTCTAAAGGACAGTTCACCTCTGTGAGTTGAATAGAGGCAACACAAAGAACTTACTCAGTATTCTTCTTTCTAGCCTTCTCTGAACAAATCCCGTTTCCAACGAAGGCCTCAAAGAGGTCCAAATATCTGCTTGCAGACTTTACAGACAGAGTGTTTCCAAACTACTCTATGAAAAGAAAGCTTAAACTCCTTGAGTTGAACGCACACATCACAAAGTAGTTTCTGAGAATGATTCTGTCTAGTTTTTATACGAAGATGTTTCCTTTTCTACATTTGGTCTCAAAGCGATTGAAATCTCCAACTGGAAACTGCACAAATAGGGTGTTTCAAATCTGCTCTGTCTAATGGAAGGTTCAACTCTGTGAGTTGAATACACACACCACAAATAAGTTACTGAGAATTCTTCTGTCGAACATTACTTGAAGAAATCCCGTTTCCAACGAAGGCCTCAAAGAGGTCCAAATATCCACTTGCAGACATTACAAACAGAGTGTTTCCAAACTGCTCCATCAAAAGAAAGGTTAAACTCTGTGAGCTGAACACACACATCGAAAAGAAGTTTCTGTGAATGATTCTGTCTAGATTTTATAAGAACATATTTCCTTTTCTACCGTAGGCCACAAAGCGCTTGAAATCTCCAGCTGCAAATTCCACAAAAAGGGTGTTTAACATCTGCTCTTCTAAAGGAAAGTTCAACTCTATGCGTTGAGTACACACAGCACAAAGAAGTTACTGAGACTTCTTCTTTCTAGCATTCTATGAAGAAATCCCGTTTCCAACGAAGGCCCCAAAGAGGTCCAAATATCTGCTTGCAGACTTTACAGACAGAGTTTTTCCAAACTGCTCCATCAAAAGAAAGGTTAAACTCCTTGAGTTGAACACACACATCACAAAGTAGTTTCTGTGAATGATTCTGTCTAGTTTTTATACGAAGATGTTTCCTTTTCTACCTTTGGTCTCAAAGCGATTGAAATCTCCACATGGAAACTCCACAAAAAGAGTGTTTCAAACCTGCTATTTCTGAAGGAAGGTTCAACTCTGTGAGTTGAATACACACACCACAAATAAGTTACTGAGAATTCTTCTGTGTAACATTATATGAGGAAATCCCGTTTCCAACGAGGGCCTCAAAGAGGTCCAAATATCCACTTGCAGACTTTACAAAGACAGTGTCTTGAAACTCCTCCATCAAAAGAAAGGTTATACTCTGTGAATTGAACGCACACATCACAAAGTAGTTTCTGAGAATGACTCTGTCTAGTTTTTATACGAAGATATTTCCTTTTCTACGTTTGGCCTAAAAGCGCTTGAAATCTCCACGTGCAAATATCACAAAAAGAGGGTTTCACACCTGCTCTGTCTAAAGGACAGTTCACCTCTGTGAGTTGAATAGAGGCAACACAAAGAACTTACTCAGTATTCTTCTTTCTAGCGTTCTATGAAGAAATCCCGTTTCCAACGAAGGCCCCAAAGAGGTCCAAATATCTGCTTGCAGACTTTACAGACAGAGTGTTTCCAAACTACTCTATGAAAAGAAAGCTTAAACTCCTTGAGTTGAACGCACACATCACAAAGTAGTTTCTGAGAATGATTCTGTCTAGTTTTTATACGAAGATGTTTCCTTTTCTACATTTGGTCTCAAAGCGATTGAAATCTCCAACTGGAAACTGCACAAATAGGGTGTTTCAAATCTGCTCTGTCTAAAGGAAGGTTCAACTCTGTGAGTTGAATACACACACCACAAATAAGTTACTGAGAATTCTTCTGTCGAACATTACTTGAAGAAATCCCGTTTCCAACGAAGGCCTCAAAGAGGTCCAAATATCCACCTGCAGACGTTACAAACAGAGTGTTTCCAAACTGCTCCATCAAAAGAAAGGTTAAACTCTGTGAGCTGAACACACACATGAAAAAGAAGTTTCTGTGAATGATTCTGTCTAGATTTTATAAGAAGATGTTTCCTTTTCTACCGTAGGCCTCAAAGCGCTTGAAATCTCCAGCTGCAAATTCCACAAAAAGGGTGTTTAACATCTGCTCTTCTAAAGGAAAGTTCAACTCTATGAGTTGAATACACACAGCACAAAGAAGTTACTGAGACTTCTCCTATCAAACATTATATGAAGAAATCCCGTTTCCAACGAAGGCCTCAAAGAGGTCCAAATATCTGCTTGCAGACTTTACAGACAGAGTGTTTCCAAACTGCTCCATCAAAAGAAAGGTTAAACTCCTTGAGTTGAACACACACATCACAAAGTAGTTTCTGTGAATGATTCTGTCTAGTTTTTATACGAAGATGTTTCCTTTTCTACCTTTGGTCTCAATGCGATTGAAATCTCCACATGGAAACTCCACAAAAAGAGTGTTTCAAATCTGCTCTTTGTGAAGGAAGGTTCAACTCTGTGAGTTGAATACACACACCACTAATAAGTTACTGAGAATTCTTCTGTGTAACATTATACGAGGAAATCCCGTTTCCAATGAAGGCCACAAAGAGGTCCAAATATCCACTTGCAGACTTTACAAAGACAGTGTCTCCAAACTCCTCCATCAAAAGAAAGGTTATAGTCTGTGAATTGAACGCACACATCACAAAGTAGTTTCTGAGAATGATTCTGTCTAGTTTTTATACGAAGATATTTCCTTTTCTACATTTGGCCTAAAAGCGCTTGAAATCTCCACCTGCAAATATCACAAAAAGAGGGTTTCACATCTGCTCTGTCTAAAGGACAGTTCACCTCTGTGAGTTGAATAGAGGCAACACAAAGAACTTACTCAGTATTCTTCTTTCTAGCGTTCTATGAAGAAATCCCGTTTCCAACGAAGGCCTCAAAGAGGTCCAAATATCTGCTTGCAGACTTTACAGACAGAGTGTTTCCAAACTACTCTATGAAAAGAAAGCTTAAAGTCCTTGAGTTGAACGCACACATCACAAAGTAGTTTCTGAGAATGATTCTGTCTAGTTTTTATACGAAGATGTTTCCTTTTCTACATTTGGTCTCAAAGCGATTGAAATCTCCAACTGGAAACTGCACAAATAGGGTGTTTCAAATCTGCTCTGTCTAAAGGAAGGTTCAACTCTTTGAGTTGAATACACACACCACAAATAAGTTACTGAGAATTCTTCTGTCGAACATTACAGGAAGAAATCCCGTTTCCAACGAAGGCCTCAAAGAGCTCCAAATATCCACTTGCAGACATTACAAACAGTGTGTTTCCCAACTGCTCCATCAAAAGAAAGGTTAAACTGCTGTGAGCTGAACACACACATCAAAAAGAAGTTTCTGTGAATGATTCTGTCTAGATTTTATAAGAAGATGTTTCCTTTTCTACCGTAGGCCTCAAAGCGCTTGAAACCTCCAGCTGCAAATTCCACAAAAAGGGTGTTTAACATCTGCTCTTCTAAAGGAAAGTTCAACTCTATGAGTTGAATACACACAGCACAAAGAAGTTACTGAGACTTCTCCTATCAAACATTATATGAAGAAATCCCGTTTCCAACGAAGGCCTCAAAGAGGTCCAAATATCTGCTTGCAGACTTTACAGACAGAGTGTTTCCAAACTGCTCCATCAAAAGAAAGGTTAAACTCCTTGAGTTGAACACACACATCACAAAGTAGTTTCTGTGAATGATTCTGTCTAGTTTCTATACGAAGATGTTTCCTTTTCTACCTTTGGTCTCAAAGCGATTGAAATCTCCACATGGAAACTCCACAAAAAGAGTGTTTCAAATCTGCTCTTTCTGAAGGAAGGTTCAACTCTGTGAGTTGAATACACACACCACAAATAAGTTCCTGAGAATTCTTCTGGGTAACATTATATGAGGAAATCCCGTTTCCAACGAAGGCCTCAAAGAGGTCCAAATATCCACTTGCAGACTTTACAAAGACAGTGTCTCCAAACTCCTCCATCAAAAGAAAGGTTATACTCTGTGAATTGAACGCACACATCACAAAGTAGTTTCTGAGAATGATTCTGTCTAGTTTTCATACGAAGATATTTCCTTTTCTACATTTGGCCTAAAAGCGCTTGAAATCTCCACCTGCACATATCACAAAAAGAGGGTTTCACATCTGCTCTGTCTAAAGGACAGTTCACCTCTGTGAGTTGAATAGAGGCAACACAAAGAACTTACTCAGTATTCGTCTTTCTAGCGTTCTATGAAGAAATCCCGTTTCCAACGAAGGCCCCAAAGAGGTCCAAATATCTGCTTGCAGACTTTACAGACAGAGTGTTTCCAAACTACTCTATGAAAAGAAAGCTTAAACTCCTTGAGTTGAACGCACACATCACAAAGTAGTTTCTGAGAATGATTCTGTCTAGTTTTTATACGAAGATGTTTCCTTTTCTACATTTGGTCTCAAAGCGATTGAAATCTCCAACTGGAAACTGCACAAATAGGGTGTTTCAAATCTGCTCTGTCTAAAGGAAGGTTCAACTCTGTGAGTTGAATACACACACAACAAATAAGTTACTGAGAATTCTTCTGTCGACCATTACTTGAAGAAATCCCGTTTCCAACGAAGGCCTCAAAGAGGTCCAAATATCCACTTGCAGACATTACAAACAGAGTGTTTCCAAACTGCTCCATCAAAAGAAAGGTTAAACTCTGTGAGCTGAACACACACATCGAAAAGAAGTTTCTGTGAATGATTCTGTCTAGATTTTATAAGAAGATGTTTCCTTTTCTACCGTAGGCCTCAAAGCGCTTGAAATCTCCAGCTGCAAATTCCACAAAAAGGGTGTTTAACATCTGCTCTTCTAAAGGAAAGTTCAACTCTATGAGTTGAATACACACAGCACAAAGAAGTTACTGAGACTTCTCCTATCAAACATTATATGAAGAAATCCCGTTTCCAACGAAGGCCTCAAAGAGGTCCAAATATCTGCTTGCAGACTTTACAGACAGAGTGTTTCCAAACTGCTCCATCAAAACAAAGGTTAAACTCCTTGAGTTGAACACACACATCACAAAGTAGTTTCTGTGAATGATTCTGTCTAGTTTTTATACGAAGATGTTTCCTTTTCTACCTTTGGTCTCAAAGCGATTGAAATCTCCACATGGAAACTCCACAAAAAGAGTTTCAAATCTGCTCTTTCTGAAGGAAGGTTCAACTCTGTGAGTTGAATTCACACACCACAAATAAGTTAGTGAGAATTCTTCTGTGTAACATTATATGAGGAAATCCCGTTTCCAACGAAGGCCTCAAAGAGGTCCAAATATCCACTTGCAGACTTTACAAAGACAGTGTCTCCAAACTCCTCCATCAAAAGAAAGGTTATACTCTGTGAATTGAACGCACACATCACAAAGTAGTTTCTGAGAATGATTCTGTCTAGTTTTTATACGAAGATATTTCCTTTTCTACATTTGGCCTAAAAGTGCTTGAAATCTCCACCTGCAAATATCACAAAAAGAGGGTTTCACATCTGCTCTGTCTAAAGGACAGTTCACCTCTGTGAGTTGAATAGAGGCAACACAAAGAACTTACTCAGTATTCTTCTTTCTTGCGTTCTATGAAGAAATCCCGTTTCCAACGAAGGCCCCAAAGAGGTCCAAATATCTGCTTGCACACTTTACAGACAGAGTGTTTCCAAACTACTCTATGAAAAGAAAGCTTAAACTCCTTGAGTTGAACGCACACATCACAAAGTAGTTTCTGAGAATGATTCTGTCTAGTTTTTATACGAAGATGTTTCCTTTTCTACATTTGGTCTCAAAGCGATTGAAATCTCCAACTGGAAACTGCACAAATAGGGTGTTTCAAATCTGCTCTGTCTAAAGGAAGGTTCAACTCTGTGAGTTGAATACACACACCACAAATAAGTTACTGAGAATTCTTCTGTCGAACATTACATGAAGAAATCCCGTTTCCAACGAATGCCTCAAAGAGGTCCAAATATCCACTTGCAGACATTACAAACAGAGTGTTTCCAAACTGCTCCATCAAAGGAAAGGTTAAACTCTGTGAGCTGAACACACCCATCAAAAAGAAGTTTCTGTGAATGATTCTGTCTAGATTTTATAAGAAGATGTTTCCTTTTCTACCATAGGCCTCAAAGCGCTTGAAATCTCCAGCTGCAAATTCCACAAAATGGGTGTTTAACATCTGCTCTTCTAAAGGAAAGTTCAACTCTATGAGTTGAATACACACAGCACAAAGAAGTTACTGAGACTTCTCCTATCAAACATTATATGAAGAAATCCCGTTTCCAACGAAGGCCTCAAAGAGGTCCAAATATCCACTTGCAGACGTGACAAACAGAGTGTTTCCAAACTGCTCCATCAAAAGAAAGGTTAAACTCTGTGAGTTGAACACACCCATCACAAAGTAGTTTCTGTGAATGATTCTGTCTAGTTTTTATACGAAGGTGTTTCCTTTTCTACCTTTGGTCTCAAAGCGACTGAAATCTCCACATGGAAACTCCACAAAAAGAGTGTTTCAAATCTGCTCTTTCTGAAGGAAGGTTCAACTCTGTGAGTTGAATACACACACCACAAATAAGTTACTGAGAATTCTTCTGTGTAACATTATATGAGGAAATCCCGTTTCCAACGAAGGCCTCAAAGAGGTCCAAATATCCACTTGCAGACATTACAAACAGAGTGTTTCCAAACTGCTCCATCAAAGGAAAGGTTAAACAATGTGAGCTGAACACACACATCAAAAAGAAGTTTCTGTGGATGATTCTGTCTAGTTTTTATACGAAGATATTTCCTTTTCTACATTTGGCCTCAAAGCGCTTGAAATCTCCACCTGCAAATATCACAAAAAGAGGGTTTCACATCTGCTCTGTCTAAAGGACAGTTCACCTCTGTGAGTTGAATAGAGGCAACACAAAGAACTTACTCAGTATTCTTCTTTCTAGCGTTCTATGAAGAAATCCCGTTTCCAACGAAGGCCCCTAAGAGGTCCAAATATCTGTTTGCAGACTTTACAGACAGAGTGTTTCCAAACTACTCTATGAAAAGAAAGCTTAAACTCCTTGAGTTGAACGCACACATCACAAAGTAGTTTCTGAGAATGATTCTGTCTAGTTTTTATACGAAGATGTTTCCTTTTCTACATTTGGTCTCAAAGCGATTGAAATCTCCAAATGGAAACTGCACAAATAGGGTGTTTCAAATCTGCTCTGTCTAAAGGAAGGTTCAACTCTGTGAGTTGAATACACACACCACAAATAAGTTACTGAGAATTCTTCTGTCGAACATTACATGAAGAAATCCCGTTTCCAAAGAAGGCCTCAAAGAGGTCCAAATATCCACTTGCCGACATGGCAAACACAGTATTTGCAAACTGCTCCGTCAAAAGAAAGGTTACACCCTGTGAGATGAACACACACATCAAAAAGTAGTTTCTGTGAATGATTCTGTCTAGATTTTATAAGAAGATGTTTCCTTTTCTACCATAGGCCTCAAAGCGCTAGAAATCTCCAGCTGCAAATTCCACAAAAAGTGTGTTAAACATATGCTCTGTCTAAAGTAAAGTTCAGCTCTGTGAGTTGAATACACACAGCACAAAGAAGTTACTGAGAATTCTCCTATCAAACATTATATGAAGAAATCCCGTTTCCAACGAAGGCCTCAAAGAGGTCCAAATATCTGCTTGCAGACTTTACAGACAGAGTGTTTCCAAACTGCTCCATCAAAAGAAAGGTTAAACTCCTTGAGTTGAACACACACATCACAAAGTAGTTTCTGTGAATGATTCTGTCTAGTTGTTATACGAAGATGTTTCCTTTTCTACCTTTGGTCTCAAAGCGATTGAAATCTCCACATGGAAACTCCACAAAAAGAGTGTTTCAAATCTGCTCTTTCTGAAGGAAGGTTCATCTCTGTGAGTTGAATACACACACCACAAATAAGTTAGTGAGAATTCTTCTGTGTAACATTATATGAGGAAATCCCGTTTCCAACGAAGGCCTCAAAGAGATCCAAATATCCACTTGCAGACTTTACAAAGACAGTGTCTCCAAACTCCTCCATCAAAAGAAAGGTTATACTCTGTGAATTGAACGCACACATCACAAAGTAGTTTCTGAGAATGATTCTGTCTAGTTTTTATACGAAGATATTTCCTTTTCTACATTTGGCCTAAAATCGCTTGAAATCTCCACCTGCAAATATCACAAAAAGAGGGTTTCACATCTGCTCTTTCTAAAGGACAGTTCACCTCTGTGAGTTGAATAGAGGCAACACAAAGAACTTACTCAGTATTCTTCTTTCTAGCGTTCTATGAAGAAATCCCGTTTCCAACGAAGGCCTCAAAGAGGTCCAAATATCTGCTTGCAGACTTTACAGACAGAGTGTTTCCAAACTACTCTATGAAAAGAAAGCTTAAACTCCTTGAGTTAAACGCACACATCACAAAGTAGTTTCTGAGAATGATTCTGTCTAGTTTTTATACGAAGATGTTTCCTTTTCTACATTTGGTCTCAAAGCGATTGAAATCTCCAACTGGAAACTGCACAAATAGGCTTTTTCAAATCTGCTCTGTCTAAAGGAAGGTTCAACTCTGTGAGTTGAATACACACACCACAAATAAGTTACTGAGAATTCTTCTGTCGAACATTACTTGAAGAAATCCCGTTTCCAACGAAGGCCTCAAAGAGGTCCAAATATCCACTTGCAGACATTACAAACAGAGTGTTTCCAAACTGCTCCATCAAAAGAAAGGTTAAACTCCTTGAGTTGAACACACACATCACAAAGTAGTTTCTGTGAATGATTCTGTCTAGATTTTATAAGAAGATGTTTCCTTTTCTACCGTAGGCCTCAAAGCGCTTGAAATCTCCAGCTGCAAATTCCACAAAAAGGGTGTTTAACATCTGCTCTTCTAAAGGAAAGTTCAACTCTATGAGTTGAATACACACAGCACAAAGAAGTTACTGAGACTTCTCCTATCAAACATTATATGAAGAAATCCCGTTTCCAACGAAGGCCTCAAAGAGGTCTAAATATCTGCTTGCAGACTTTACAGACAGAGTGTTTCCAAACTGCTCCATCAAAAGAAAGGTTAAACTCCTTGAGTTGAACACACACATCACAAAGTAGTTTCTGTGAATGATTCTGTCTAGTTTTTATACGAAGATGTTTCCCTTTCTACCTTTGGTCTCAAAGCGATTAAAATCTCCACATGGAAACTCCACAAAAAGAGTGTTTCATATCTGCTCTTTCTGAAGGAAGGTTCAACTCTGTGAGTTGAATACACACAGCAAAAATAAGTTACTGAGAATTCTTCTGGGTAACATTATATGAGGAAATCCCGTTTCCAACGAAGGCCTCAAAGAGGTCCAAATATCCACTTGCAGACTTTACAAAGACAGTGTCTCCAAACTCCTCCATCAAAAGAAAGGTTATACTCTGTGAATTGAACGCACACATCACAAAGTAGTTTCTGAGAATGATTCTGTCTAGTTTTTATACGAAGATATTTCCTTTTCTACATTTGGCCTAAAAGCGCTTGAAATCTCCACCTGCAAATAAAACAAAAAGAGGGTTTCACATCTGCTCTGTCTAAAGGACAGTTCACCTCTGTGAGTTGAATAGAGGCAACACAAAGAACTTACTCAGTATTCTTCTTTCTAGCGCTCTATGAAGAAATCCCGTTTCCAACGAAGGCCTCAAAGAGGTCCAAATATCTGCTTGCAGACTTCACAGACAGAGTGTTTCCAAAGTACTCTATGAAAAGAAAGCTTAAACTCCTTGAGTTGAACGCACACATCACAAAGTAGTTTCTGAGAATGATTCTGTCTAGTTTTTATACGAAGATGTTTCCTTTTCTACATTTGGTCTCAAAGCGATTGAAATCTCCAACTGGAAACTGCACAAATAGGGTGTGTCAAATCTGCTCTTTCTAAAGGAAGGTTCAACTCTGTGAGTTGAATACACACACCACAAATAAGTTACTGAGAATTCTTCTGTCGAACATTACAGGAAGAAATCCCGTTTCCAGCGAAGGCCTCAAAGAGGTCCAAATATCCACTTGCAGACATTACAAACAGAGTGTTTCCAAACTGCTCCATCAAAAGAAAGGTTAAACTCTGTGAGCTGAACACACACATCAAAAAGAAGTTTCTGTGAATGATTCTGTCTAGATTTTATAAGAAGATGTTTCCTTTTCTACCGTAGGCCTCAAAGCGCTTGAAATCTCCAGCT
Organism: Homo sapiens; assembly: GCF_000001405.40. NCBI lineage: Eukaryota > Metazoa > Chordata > Mammalia > Primates > Hominidae > Homo > Homo sapiens. The sequence continues at coordinate 37,057,462 of NC_000012.12, read as the reverse complement.
GCAAATTCCACAAAAAGGGTGTTTAACATCTGCTCTTCTAAAGGAAAGTTCAACTCTATGAGTTGAATACACACAGCACAAAGAAGTTACTGAGACTTCTCCTATCAAACATTATATGAAGAAATCCCGTTTCCAACGAAGGCCTCAAAGAGGTCTAAATATCTGCTTGCAGACTTTACAGACAGAGTGTTTCCAAACTGCTCCATCAAAAGAAAGGTTAAACTCCTTGAGTTGAACACACACATCACAAAGTAGTTTCTGTGAATGATTTCTGTCTAGTTGTTATACGAAGATGTTTCCTTTTCTACCTTTGTTCTCAAAGCGATTGAAATCTCCACATGGAAACTCCACAAAAAGAGTGTTTCAAATCTGCTCTTTCTGAAGGAAGGTTCATCTCTGTGAGTTGAATACACACACCACAAATAAGTTACTGAGAATTCTTCTGTGTAACATTATATGAGGAAATCCCGTTTCCAACGAAGGCCTCAAAGAGGTCCAAATATCCACTTGCAGACTTTACAAAGACAGGGTCTCCAAACTCCTCCATCAAAAGAAAGGTTATACTCTGTGAATTGAACGCACACATCACAAAGTGGTTTCTGAGAATGATTCTGTCTAGTTTTTATACGAAGATATTTCCTTTTCTACATTTGGCCTAAAAGCGCTTGAAATCTCCACCTGCAAATATCACAAAAAGAGGGTTTCACATCTGCTCTGTCTAAAGGACAGTTCACCTCTGTGAGTTGAATAGAGGCAACACAAAGAACTTACTCAGTATTCTTCTTTCTAGCGTTCTATGAACAAATCCCGTTTCCAACGAAGGCCCCAAAGAGGTCCAAATATCTGCTTGCAGACTTTACAGACAGAGTGTTTCCAAACTACTCTATGAAAAGAAAGCTTAAACTCCTTGAGTTGAACGCACACATCACAAAGTAGTTTCTGAGAATGATTCTGTCTAGTTTTTATACGAAGATGTTTCCTTTTCTACATTTGGTCTCAAAGCGATTGAAATCTCCAACTGGAAACTGCACAAATAGGGTGTTTCAAATCTGCTCTGTCTAAAGGAAGGTTCAACTCTGTGAGTTGAATACACACACCACAAATAAGTTACTGAGAATTCTTCTGTCGAACATTACAGGAAGAAATCCCGTTTCCAACGAAGGCCTCAAAGAGGTCCAAATATCCACTTGCAGACATTACAAACAGAGTGTTTCCAAACTGCTCCATCAAAAGAAAGGTTAAACTCTGTGAGCTGAACACACACATCAAAAAGAAGTTTCTGTGAATGATTCTGTCTAGATTTTCTAAGAAGATGTTTCCTTTTCTACCGTAGGCCTCAAAGCGCTTGAAGTCTCCAGCTGCAAATTCCACAAAAAGGGTGTTTAACATCTGCACTTCTAAAGGAAAGTTCAACTCTATGAGTTGAATACACACAGCACAAAGAAGTTACTGAGACTTCTCCTATCAAACATTATATGAAGAAATCCCGTTTCCAACGAAGGCCTCAAACAGGTCCAAATATCTGCTTGCAGACTTTACAGACAGAGTTTTTCCAAACTGCTCCATCAAAAGAAAGGTTAAACTCCTTGAGTTGAACACACACATCACAAAGTAGTTTCTGTGAATGATTCTGTCTAGTTGTTATACGAAGATGTTTCCTTTTCTACCTTTGGTCTCAAAGCGATTGAAATCTCCACATGGAAACTCCACAAAAAGAGTGTTTCAAATCTGCTCTTTCTGAAGGAAGGTTCATCTCTGTGAGTTGAATACACACACCACAAATAAGTTACTGAGAATTCTCCTATCAAACATTATATGAAGAAATCCCGTTTCCAACGAAGGCCTCAAAGAGGTCCAAATATCTGCTTGCAGACTTTACAAAGACAGTGTCTCCAAACTCCTCCAACAAAAGAAAGGTTATACTCTGTGAATTGAACGCACACATCACAAAGTAGTTTCTGAGAATGATTCTGTCTAGTTTTTATACGAAGATATTTCCTTTTCTACATTTGGCCTAAAAGCGCTTGAAATCTCCACCTGCAAATATCACAAAAAGAGGGTTTCACATCTGCTCTGTCTAAAGGACAGTTCACCTCTGTGAGTTGAATAGAGGCAACACAAAGAACTTACTCAGTTTTCTTCTTTATAGCGTTATATGATGAAATGCCGTTTCCAACAAAGGCCTCAAAGAGGTCCAAATATCTGCTTGCAGACTTTACAGACAGAGTGTTTCCAAACTACTCTATGAAAAGAAAGCTTAAACTTCTTGAGTTGAACGCACACATCACAAAGTAGTTTCTGATAATGATTCTGTCTTGTTTTTATACAAATGTATTTCCGTTTCTATGGCCTCAAAGCAATTGAAATCTCTAACTGTAAACTGCACAAATAGGGTGTTTCAAATCTGTTCTGTCTAAAGGAAGGTTCAACTCTGTGAGTTGAATACACACAACACAAATAAGTTACTGAGAATTCTTCTGTCGAACATTACAGGAAGAAATCCCGTTTCCAGCGAAGGCCTCAAAGAGGTCCAAATATCCACTTGCAGACATTACAAACAGAGTGTTTCCAAACTGCTCCATCAAAAGAAAGGTTAAACTCTGTGAGCTGAACACACACATCAAAAAGAAGTTTCTGTGAATGATTCTGTCTAGATTTTATAAGAAGATGTTTCCTTTTCTACCGTAGGCCTCAAAGCGCTTGAAATCTCCAGCTGCAAATTCCACAAAAAGGGTGTTTAACATCTGCTCTTCTAAAGGAAAGTTCAACTCTATGAGTTGAATACACACAGCACAAAGAAGTTACTGAGACTTCTCCTATCAAACATTATATGAAGAAATCCCGTTTCCAACGAAGGCCTCAAAGAGGTCCAAATATCTGCTTGCAGACTTTACAGACAGAGTGTTTCCAAACTGCTCCATCAAAAGAAAGGTTAAACTCCTTGAGTTGAACACACACATCACAAAGTAGTTTCTGTGAATGATTCTGTCTAGTTTTTATACGAAGATGTTTCCTTTTCTACCTTTGGTCTCAAAGCGATTGAAATCTCCACATGGAAACTCCACAAAAAGAGTGTTTCAAATCTGCTCTTTCTGAAGGAAGGTTCATCTCTGTGAGTTGAATACACACACCACAAATAAGTTACTGAGAATTCTTCTGGGTAACATTATATGAGGAAATCCCGTTTCCAACGAAGGCCTCAAAGAGGTCCAAATATCCACTTGCAGACTTTACAAAGACAGTGTCTCCAAACTCCTCCATCAAAAGAAAGGTTATACTCTGTGAATTGAACGCACACATCACAAAGTAGTTTCTGAGAATGATTCTGTCTGGTTTTTATACGAAGATATTTCCTTTTCTACATTTGGCCTAAAAGTGCTTGAAATCTCCACTTGCAAATATCACAAAAAGAGGGTTTCACATCTGCTCTGTCTAAAGGACAGTTCACCTCTGTGAGTTGAATAGAGGCAACACAAAGAACTTACTCAGTATTTTTCTTTCTAGCGTTCTATGAAGAAATCCCGTTTCCAACGAAGGCCTCAAAGAGGTCAAAGATCTGCTTGCAGACTTTACAGAGAGAGTGTTTCCAAACTACTCTATGAAAAGAAAGCTTAAACTCCTTGAGTTGAACGCACACATCACAAAGTAGTTTCTGAGAATGATTCTGTCTAGTTTTTATACGAAGATGTTTCCTTTTCTACATTTGGTCTCAAAGCGATTGAAATCTCCAACTGGAAACTGCACAAATAGGGTGTTTCAAATTTGCTCTGTCTAAAGGAAGGTTCAACTCTGTGAGTTGAATACACACACCACAAATAAGTTACTGAGAATTCTTCTGTCGAACATTACTTGAAGAAATCCCGTTTCCAACGAAGGCCTCAAAGAGGTCCAAATATCCACTTGCAGACATTACAAACAGAGTGTTTCCAAACTGCTCCATCAAAAGAAAGGTTAAACTCGGTGAGCTGAACACACACATCAAAAAGAAGTTTCTGTGAATGATTCTGTCTAGATTTTATAAGAAGATGTTTCCTTTTCTACCGTAGGCCTCAAAGCGCTTGAAATCTCCAGCTGCAAATTCCACAAAAAGGGTGTTTAACATCTGCTCTTCTAAAGGAAAGTTCAACTCTATGAGTTGAATACACACAGCACAAAGAAGTTACTGAGACTTCTCCTATCAAACATTATATGAAGAAATCCCGTTTCCAACGAAGGCCTCAAAGAGGTCCAAATATCTGCTTGCAGACTTTACAGACAGAGTTTTTCCAAACTGCTCCATCAAAAGAAAGGTTAAACTCCTTGAGTTGAACACACACATCACAAAGTAGTTTCTGTGAATGATTCTGTCTAGTTTTTATACGAAGATGTTTCCTTTTCTACCTTTGGTCTCAAAGCGATTGAAATCTCCACATGGAAACTCCACAAAAAGAGTGTTTCAAATCTGCTCTTTCTGAAGGAAGGTTCAACTCTTGTGAGTTGAATACACACACCACAAATAAGTTACTGAGAATTCTTCTGTGTAACATTATATGAGGAAATCCCGTTTCCAACGAAGGCGTCAAAGAGATCCAAATATCCACTTGCAGACTTTACAAAGACAGTGTCTCCAAACTCCTCCATCAAAAGAAAGGTTATACTCTGTGAATTGAACGCACACATCACAAAGTAGTTTCTGAGAATGATTCTGTCTAGTTTTTATGCGAAGATATTTCCTTTTCTACATTTGGCCTAAAAGCGCTTGAAATCTCCACCTGCAAATATCACAAAAAGAGGGTTTCACATCTGCTCTGTCTAAAGGACAGTTCACCTCTGTGAGTTGAATAGAGGCAACACAAAGAACTTACTCAGTATTCTTCTTTCTAGCGTTCTATGAAGAAATCCCGTTTCCAACGAAGGCCACAAAGAGGTCCAAATATCTGCTTGCAGACTTTACAGACAGAGTGTTTCCAAACTACTCTATGAAAAGAAAGCTTAAACACCTTGAGTTGAACGCACACATCACAAAGTAGTTTCTGAGAATGATTCTGTCTAGTTTTTATACGAAGATGTTTCCTTTTCTACATTTGGTCTCAAAGCGATTGAAATCTCCAACTGGAAACTGCACAAATAGGGTGTTTCAAATCTGCTCTGTCTAAAGGAAGGTTCAACTCTGTGAGTTGAATACACACACCACAAATAAGTTACTGAGAATTCTTCTGTCGAACATTACAGGAAGAAATCCCGTTTCCAACGAAGGCCTCAAAGAGGTCCAAATATCCACTTGCAGACATTACAAACAGTGTGTTTCCAAACTGCCCCATCAAAAGAAAGGTTAAACTCTGTGAGCTGAACACACACATCAAAGAGAAGTTTCTGTGAATGATTCTGTCTAGATTTTATACGAAGATGTTTCCTTTTCTACCGTAAGCCTCAAAGCGCTTGAAATCTCCAGCTGCTAATTCCACAAAAAGGGTGTTTAAGATCGGCTCTTCTAAAGGAAAGTTCAACTCTATGAGTTGAATACACACAGCACAAAGAAGTTACTGAGACTTCTCCTATCAAACATTATATGAAGAAATCCCGTTTCCAACGAAGGCCTCAAAGAGGTCCAAATATCTGCTTGCAGACTTTACAGACAGAGTTTTTCCAAACTGCTCCATCAAAAGAAAGTTTAAACTCCTTGAGTTGAACACACACATCACAAACTAGTTTCTGTGAATGAATCTGTCTTGTTTTTATACGAAGATGTTTCCTTTTCTACATTTGGTCTCAATGCGATTGAAATCTCCACATGGAAACTCCACAAAAAGAGTGTTTCAAATCTGCTCTTTCTGAAGGAAGGTTCAACTCTGTGAGTTGAATACACACACCACAAATAAGTTACTGAGAATTCTTCTGTGTCACATTATATGAGGAAATCCTGTTTCCAACGAAGGCCTCAAAGAGGTCCAAATATCCACTTGCAGACTTTACAAAGACAGTGTCTCCAAACTCCTCCATCAAAAGAAAGGTTATACTCTGTGAATTGAACGCACACATCACAAAGTAGTTTCTGAGAATGATTCTGTCTAGTTTTTATACGAAGATATTTCCTTTTCTACATTTGGCCTAAAAGCGCTTGAAATCTCCACCTGCAAATATCACAAAAAGAGGGTTTCACATCTGCTCTGTCTGAAGGACAGTTCACCTCTGTGAGTTGAATAGAGGCAACACAAAGAACTTACTCAGTATTCTTCTTTCTAGCGTTCTATGAAGAAATCCCGTTTCCAACGAAGGCCCCAAAGAGGTCCAAATATCTGCTTGCACACTTTACAGACAGAGTGTTTCCAAACTACTCTATGAAAAGAAAGCTTAAACTCCTTGAGTTGAACGCACACATCACAAAGAGTTTCTGAGAATGATTCTGTCTAGTTTTTATACGAAGATGTTTCCTTTTCTACATTTGGTCTCAAAGCGATTGAAATCTCCAACTGGAAACTGCACAAATAGGGTGTTTCAAATTTGCTCTGTCGAAAGGAAGGTTCAACTCTGTGAGTTGAATACACACACCACAAATAAGTTACTGAGAATTCTTCTGACTCGAACATTTACATGTGAAGAAATCCCGTTTCCAACGAAGGCCTCAAAGAGGTCCAAATATCCACTTGCAGACATTACAAACAGAGTGTTTCCAAACTACTCCATCAAAAGAAAGGTTAAACTCTGTGAGCTGAACACACACATCAAAAAGAAGTTTCTGTGAATGATTCTGTCTAGATTTTATAAGAAGATGTTTCCTTTTCTACCGTAGGCCTCAAAGCGCTTGAAATCTCCAGCTGCAAATTCCACAAAAAGGGTGTTTAACATCTGCTCTTCTAAAGGAAAGTTCAACTCTATGAGTTGAATACACACAGCACAAAGAAGTTACTGAGACTTCTCCTATCAAACATTATATGAAGAAATCCCGTTTCCAACGAAGGCCTCAAAGAGGTCCAAATGTCTGCTTGCAGACTTTACAGACAGAGTGTTTCCAAACTGCTCCATCAAAAGAAAGGTTAAACTCCTTGAGTTGAACACACACATCACAAAGTAGTTTCTGTGAATGATTCTGTCTAGTTTTTATACGAAGATGTTTCCTTTTCTACCTTTGGTCTCAAAGCGATTGAAATCTCCACATGGAAACTCCACAAAAAGAGTGTTTCAAATCTGCTCTTTCTGAAGGAAGGTTCAACTCTGTGAGTTGAATACACACACCACAAATAAGTTACTGAGAATTCTTCTGTGTAACATTATATGAGGAAATCCCGTTTCCAACGAAGGCCTCAAAGAGGTCCAAATATCCACTTGCAGACTTTACAAAGACAGTGTCTCCAAACTCCTCCATCAAAAGGAAAGGTTATACTCTGTGAATTGAACGCACACATCCCAAAGTAGTTTCTGAGAATGATTCTGTCTAGTTTTTATACGAAGATATTTCCTTTTCTACATTTGGCCTAAAAGCGCTTGAAATCTCCACCTGCAAATATCACAAAAAGAGGGTTTCACATCTGCTCTGTCTAAAGGACAGTTCACCTCTGTGAGTTGAATAGAGGCAACACAAAGAACTTACTCAGTATTCTTCTTTCTAGCGTTCTGTGAAGAAATCCCGTTTCCAACGAAGGCCTCAAAGAGGTCCAAATATCTGCTTGCAGACTTTACAGACAGAGTGTTTCCAAACTACTCTATGAAAAGAAAGGTTAAACTCCTTGAGTTGAACGCACACATCACAAAGTAGTTTCTGAGAATGATTCTGTCTAGTTTTTATACGAAGATGTTTCCTTTTCTACATTTGGTCTCAAAGCGATTGAAATCTCCAACTGGAAACTGCACAAATAGGCTGTTTCAAATCTGCTCTGTCTAAAGGAAGGTTCAACTCTGTGAGTTGAATACACACACCACAAATAAGTTACTGAGAATTCTTCTGTCGAACATTACATGAAGAAATCCCGTTTCCAACGAAGGCCTCAAAGAGGTCCAAATGTCCACTTGCAGACATTACCAACAGTGTGTTTCCAAACTGCTCCATCAAAAGAAAGGTTAAACTCTGTGAGCTGAACACACACATCAAAAAGAAGTTTCTGTGAATGATTCTGTCTAGATTTTATAAGAAGATGTTTCCTTTTCTACCGTAGGCCTCAAAGCGCTTGAAATCTCCAGCTGCAAATTCCACAAAAAGGGTGTTTAACATCTGCTCTTCTAAAGGAAAGTTCAACTCTATGAGTTGAATACACACAGCACAAAGAAGTTACTGAGACTTCTCCTATCAAACATTATATGAAGAAATCCCGTTTCCAACGAAGGCCTCAAAGAGGTCCAAATATCTGCTTGCAGACTTTACAGACAGAGTATTTCCAAACTGCTCCATCAAAAGAAAGGTTAAACTCCTTGAGTTGAACACACACATCACAAAGTAGTTTCTGTGAATGATTCTGTCTAGTTTTTATACGAAGAATGTTTCCTTTTCTACCTTTGGTCTCAAAGCGATTGAAATCTCCACATGGAAACTCCACAAAAAGAGTGTTTCAAATCTGCTCTTTCTGAAGGAAGTTTCAACTCTGTGAGTTGAATACACACACCACAAATAAGTTACTGAGAATTCTTCTGTGTAACATTATATGAGGAAATCCCGTTTCCAACGAAGGCCTCAAAGAGGTCCAAATATCCACTTGCAGACTTTACAAAGACAGTGTCTCCAAACTCCTCCATCAAAAGAAAGGTTATACTCTGTGAATTGAACGCACACATCACAAAGTAGTTTCTGAGAATGATTCTGTCTAGTTTTTATACGAAGATATTTCCTTTTCTACATTTGGCCTAAAAGCGCTTGAAACCTCCACCTGCAAATATCACAAAAAGAGGGTTTCACATCTGCTCTGTCTAAAGGACAGTTCACCTCTGTGAGTTGAATAGAGGCAACACCAAGAACTTACTCAGTATTCTTCTTTCTAGCGTTATATGAAGAAATCCCGTTTCCAATGAAGGCCTCAAAGAGGTCCAAATATCTGCTTGCAGACTTTACAGACAGAGTGTTTCCAAACTACTCTATGAAAAGAAAGCTTAAACTCCTTGAGTTGAACCGCACACATCACAAAGTAGTTTCTGAGAATGATTCTGTCTTGTTTTTATACGAAGATATTTCCGTTTCTACGATTGGCCTCAAAGCGATTGAAATCTCCAACTGGAAACTGCACAAATAGTGTGTTTCAAATCTGCTCTGTCTAAGGGAAGGTTCAACTCTGTGAGTTGAATACACACACCACAAATAAGTTACTGAGAATTCTTCTGTTGAACATTACATGAAGCAATCCCGTTTCCAACGAAGGCCTCAAAGAGGTCCTAATGTCCACTTGCAGACATTAAAGAGTGTTTCCAAACTGCTCCATCAAAAGAAAGGGTAAACTCTGTGAGCTGAACACACACATCAAAAAGAAGTTTCTGTGAATGATTCTGTCTAGATTTTATAAGAAGATGTTTCCTTTTCTACCGTAGGCCTCAAAGCGCTTGAAATCTCCAGCTGCAAATTCCACAAAAAGGGTGTTTAACATCTGCTCTTCTAAAGGAAAGTTCAACTCTATGAGTTGAATACACACAGCACAAAGAAGTTACTGAGACTTCTCCTATCAAACATTATATGAAGAAATCCCGTTTCCAACGAAGGCCTCAAAGAGGTCCAAATATCTGCTTGCAGACTTTACAGACAGAGTGTTTCCAAACTGCTCCATCAAAAGAAAGGTTAAACTCCTTGAGTTGAACACACACATCACAAAGTAGTTTCTGTGAATGATTCTGTCTAGTTTTTATACGAAGATGTTTCCTTTTCTACCTTTGGTCTCAAAGCGATTGAAATCTCCACATGGAAACCCAACAAAAAGAGTGTTTCAAATCTGCTCTTTCTGAAGGAAGGTTCAACCCTGTGAGTTGAATACACACACCACAAATAAGTTACTGAGAATTCTTCTGTGTAACATTATATGAGGAAATCCCGTTTCCAACGAAGGCCTCAAAGAGGTCCAAATATCCACTTGCAGACTTTACAAAGACAGTGTCTCCAAACTCCTCCATCAAAAGAAAGGTTATACTCTGTGAATTGAACGCACACATCACAAAGTAGTTTCTGAGAATGATTCTCTCTAGTTTTTATACAAAGATATTTCCTTTTCTACATTTGGCCTAAAAGCGCTTGAAATCTCCACCTGCAAATATCACAAAAAGAGGGTTTCACATCTGCTCTGTCTAAAGGACAGTTCACCTCTGTGAGTTGAATAGAGGCAACACAAAGAACTTACTCAGTATTCTTCTTTCTAGCGTTCTATGAAGAAATCCCGTTTCCAACGAAGGCCTCAAGGAGGTCCAAATATCTGCTTGCAGACTTTACAGAGTGTTTCCAAACTACTCTATGAAAAGAAAGCTTAAACTCCTTGAGTTGAACGCACACATCACAAAGTAGTTTCTGAGAATTATTCTGTCAAGTTTTTATACGAAGATGTTTCCTTTTCTACATTTGGTCTCAAAGCGATTGAAATCTCCAACTGGAAACTGCACAAATAGGGTGTTTCAAATCTGCTCTGTCTAAAGGAAGTTTCAACTCTGTGAGTTGAATACACACACCACAAATAAGTTACTGAGAATTCTTCTGTCGAACATTACATGAAGAAATCCCGTTTCCAACGAAGACCTCAAAGAGGTCCAAATATCCACTTGCAGACATTACAAACAGAGTGTTTCCAAACTGCTCCATCAAAAGAAAGGTTAAACCCTGTGGAGCTGAACACACACATCAAAAAGATGTTTCTGTGAATGATTCTGTCTAGATTTTATAAGAAGATGTTTCCTTTTCTACAGTACGCCACAAAGCGCTTGAAATCTCCAGCTGCAAATTCCACAAAAAGGGTGTTTAACATCTGCTCTTCTAAAGGAAAGTTCAACTCTATGAGTTAAATAAACACAGCAGAAAGAAGTTACTGAGACTTCTCCTATCAAACATTATATGAAGAAATCCCGTTTCCAACGAAGGCCTCAAAGAGGTCCAAATATCTGCTTGCAGACTTTACAGACAGAGTTTTTCCAAACTGCTCCATCAAAAGAAAGGTTAAACTCCTTGAGTTGAACACACACATCACAAAGTAGTTTCTGTGAATGTTTCTGTCTAGTTTTTATACGAAGATGTTTCCTTTTCTACCTTTGGTCTCAAAGCGATTGAAATCTCCACATGGAAACTCCACAAAAAAGAGTGTTTCAAATCTGCTCTTTCTGAAGGAAGGTTCAACTCTGTGAGTTGAATACACACACCACAAATAAGTTACTGAGAATTCTTCTGTGTAACAGTATATGAGGAAATCCCGTTTCCAACGAAGGCCTCAAAGAGGTCCAAATATCCACTTGCAGACTTTACAAAGACAGTGTCTCCAAACTCCTCCATCAAAAGAAAGGTTATACTCTGTGAATTGAACGCACACATCACAAAGTAGTTTCTGAGAATGATTCTGTCTAGTTTTTATACGAAGATATTTCCTTTTCTACATTTGGCCTAAAAGCGCTTGAAATCTCCACCTGCAAATATCACAAAAAGAGGGTTTCACATCTGCTCTGTCTAAAGGACAGTTCACCTCTGTGAGTTGAATAGAGGCAACACAAAGAACTTACTCAGTATTCTTCTTTCCAGCGTTCTATGAAGAATTCCCGTTTCCAACGAAGGCCTCAAAGAGGTCCAAATATCTGCTTGCAGACTTTACAGACAGAGTGTTTCCAAACTACTCTATGAACAGAAAGCTTAAACTCCGTGAGTTGAATGCACACATCACAAAGTAGTTTCTGAGAATGATTCTGTCTAGTTTTTATACGAAGATGTTTCCTTTTCTACATTTGGTCTCAAAGCGATTGAAATCTCCAACTGGAAACTGCACAAATAGGGTGTTTCAAATCTGCACTGTGTAAAGGAAGGTTCAACTCTGTGAGTTGAATACGCACACCACAAATAAGTTACTGAGAATTCTTCTCTCGAACATTACATGAAGAAATCCCGTTTCCAACGAAGGCCTGAAAGAGGTCCAAATATCCAGTTGCCGAAAATGCAAACACAGTGTTTGCAAACTGCTCCGTCAAAAGAAAGGTTAAACTCTGTGAGATGAACACACACATCAGAAAGAAGTTTCTGTGAATGATTCTGTCTAGATTTTATAAGAAGATGTTTCCTTTTCTACCGTAGGCCTCAAAGTGCTTGAAATCTCCAGCTGCAAATTCCACAAAAAGGGTGTTTAACATCTGCTCTTCTAAAGGAAAGTTCAACTCAATGAGTTGAATACACACAGCCCAAAGAAGTTACTGAGACTTCTCCTATCAAACATTATATGAAGAAATCCCGTTTCCAACGAAGGCCTCAAAGAGGTGCAAATATCTGCTTGCAGACTTTACAGACAGAGTGTTTCCAAACTGCTCCATCAAAAGAAAGGTTAACCTCCTTGAGTTGAACACACACATCACAAAGTAGTTTCTGTGAATGATTCTGTCTAGTTTTTATACGAAGATGTTTCCTTTTCTACCTTTGGTCTCAAAGCGATTGAAATCTCCACATGGAAACTCCACAAAAAGAGTGTTTCAAATCTGCTCTTTCTGAAGGAAGGTTCAACTCTGTGAGTTGAATACACACACCACAAATAAGTTACTGAGAATTCTTCTGTGTAACATTATATGAGGAAATCCCGTTTCCAACGAAGGCCTCAAAGAGGTCCAAATATCCACTTGCAGACTTTACAAAGACAGTGTCTCCAAACTCCTCCATCAAAAGAAAGGTTATACTCTGTGAATTGAACGCACACATCACAAAGTAGTTTCTGAGAATGATTCTGTCTAGTTTTTATACGAAGATATTTCCTTTTCTACATTTGGCCTAAAAGCGCTTGAAATCTCCACCTGCAAATATCACAAAAAGAGGGTTTCACATCTGCTCTGTCTAAAGGACAGTTCACCTCTGTGAGTTGAATAGAGGCAACACAAAGAACGTACTCAGTATTCTTCTTTCTAGCGTTCTATGAAGAAATCCCGTTTCCAACGAAGGCCTCAAAGAGGTTCAAATATCTGCTTGCAGACTTTACAGACAGAGTGTTTCCAAACTACTCTATGAAAAGAAAGCTTAAACTCCTTGAGTTGAACGCACACAACACAAAGTAGTTTCTGAGAATGATTCTGTCTAGTTTTTATACGAAGATGTTTCCTTTTCTACATTTGGTCTCAAAGCGATTGAAATCTCCAACTGGAAACTGCACAAATAGGGTGTTTCAAATCTGCTCTGTCTAAAGGAAGGTTCAACTCTGTGAGTTGAATACACACACCACAAATAAGTTACTGAGAATTCTTCTGTCGAACATTACAGGGAAGAAATCCCGTTTCCAACGAAGGCCTCAAAGTAGGTCCAAATATCCACTTGCAGACATTACAAACAGTGTGTTTCCCAACTGCTCCATCAAAAGAAAGGTTAAACTCTGTTAGCTGAACACACACATCAAAAAGAAGTTTCTGTGAATGATTCTGTCTAGATTTTATAAGAAGATGTTTCCTTTTCTACCGTAGGCCTCAAAGCGCTTGAAATCTCCAGCTGCAAATTCCACAAAAAGGGTGTTTAACATCTGCTCTTCTAAAGGAAAGTTCAACTCTATGAGTTGAATACACACAGCACAAAGAAGTTACTGAGACTTCTCCTATCAAACATTATATGAAGAAATCCCGTTTCCAACGAAGGCCTCAAAGAGGTCCAAATATCTGCTTGCAGACTTTACAGACAGAGTTTTTCCAAACTGCTCCATCAAAAGAAAGGTTAAACTCCTTGAGTTAAACACACACATCACAAAGTAGTTTCTGTGAATGATTCTGTCTAGTTTTTATACGAAGATGTTTCCTTTTCTACCTTTGGTCTCAAAGCGATTGAAATCTCCACATGGAAACTCCACAAAAAGAGTGTTTCACATCTGCTCTTTCTGAAGGAAGGTTCAACTCTGTGAGTTGAATACACACACCACAAATAAGTTACTGAGAATTCTTCTGTGTAACATTATATGAGGAAATCCCGTTTCCAACGAAGGCCTCAAAGAGGTCCAAATATCCACTTGCAGACTTTACAAAGACAGTGTCTCCAAACTCCTCCATCAAAAGAAAGGTTATACTCTGTGAATTGAACGCACACATCACAAAGTAGTTTCTGAGAATGATTCTGTCTAGTTTTTATACAAAGATATTTCCTTTTCTACATTTGGCCTAAAAGCGCTTGAAATCTCCACCTGCAAATATCACAAAAAGAGGGTTTCACATCTGCTCTGTCTAAAGGACAGTTCACCTCTGTGAGTTGAATAGAGGCAACACAAAGAACTTACTCAGTATTCTTCTTTCTAGCCTTCTATTAAGAAATCCTGTTTCCAACGAAGGCCCCAAAGAGGTCCAAATATCTGCTTGCAGACTTTACAGACAGAGTGTTTCCAAACTACTCTATGAAAAGAAAGCTTAAACTCCTTGAGTTGAACGCACACATCACAAAGTAGTTTCTGAGAATGATTCTCTCTAGTTTTTATACGAAGATGTTTCCTTTTCTACATTTGGTCTCAAAGCAATTGAAATCTCCAACTGGAAACTGCACAAATAGGGGTTTTCAAATCTGCTCTGTCTAAAGGAAGGTTCAACTCTGTGAGTTGAATACACACACCACAAATAAGTTACTGAGAATTCTTCTGTCGAACATTACAGGAAGAAATCCCGTTTCCAGCGAAGGCCTCAAAGAGGTCCAAATATCCACTTGCAGACATTACAAACAGAGTGTTTCCAAACTGCTCCATCAAAAGAAAGGTTAAACTCTGTGAGCTGAACACACACATCAAAAAGAAGTTTCTGTGAATGATTCTGTCTAGATATTATAAGAAGATGTTTCCTTTTCTACCGTAGGCCTCAAAGCGCTTGAAATCTCCACCTGCAAATTCCACAAAAAGGGTGTTTAACATCTGCTCTTCTAAAGGAAAGTTCAACTCTATGAGTTGAATACACACAGCACAAAGAAGTTACTGAGACTTCTCCTATCAAACATTATATGAAGAAATCCCGTTTCCAACGAAGGCCTCAAAGAGGTCCAAATATCTACTTGCAGACTTTACAGACAGAGTGTTTCCAAACTGCTCCATCAAAAGAAAGGTTAAACTCCTTGAGTTGAACACACACATCACAAAGTAGTTTCTGTGAATGATTCTGTCTAGTTTTTATACGAAGATGTTTCCTTTTCTACCTTTGGTCTCAAAGCGATTGAAATCTCCACATGGAAACTCCACAAAAAGAGTGTTTCAAATCTGCTCTTTCTGAAGGAAGGTTCAACTCTGTGAGTTGAATACACACACCACAAATAAGTTACTGAGAATTCTTCTGTGTAACATTATATGAGGAAATCCCGTTTCCAACGAAGGCCTCAAAGAGGTCCAAATATCCACTTGCAGACTTTACAAAGACAGTGTCTCCAAACTCCTCCATCAAAAGAAAGGTTATACTCTGTGAATTGAACGCACACATCACAAAGTAGTTTCTGAGAATGATTCTGTCTAGTTTTTATACGAAGATATTTCCTTTTCTACATTTGGCCTAAAAGCGCTTGAAATCTCCAACTGCAAATATCACAAAAAGAGGGTTTCACATCTGCTCTGTCTAAAGGACAGTTCACATCTGTGAGTTGAATAGAGGCAACACAAAGAACTTACTCAGTATTCTTCTTTCTAGCGTTCTATGAAGAAATCCCGTTTCCAACGAATGCCTCAAAGAGGTCCAAATATCTGCTTGCAGACTTTACAGACAAAGTGTTTCCAAACTGCTCCATCAAAAGAAAGCTTAAACTCCTTGAGTTGAACGCACACATCACAAAGCAGTTTCTGAGAATGATTCTGTCTAGTTTTTATACGAAGATGTTTCCTTTTCTACATTTGGTCTCAAAGCGATTGAAATCTCCAACTGGAAACTGCACAAATAGGGTGTTTCAAATCTGCTCTGTCTAAAGGAAGGTTCAACTCTGTGAGCTGAATACACACACCACAAATAAGTTACTGAGAATTCTTCTGTCGAACATTACTTGAAGAAATCCCGTTTCCAACGAAGGCCTCCAAGAGGTCCAAATATCCACTTGCAGACATTACAAACAGAGTGTTTCCAAACTGCTCCATCAAAGGAAACGTTAAACTCTGTGAGCTGAACACACACATCAAAAAGAAGTTTCTGTGAATGATTCTGTCTAGATTTTATAAGAAGATGTTTCCTTTTCTACCGTAGGCCTCAAAGCGCTTGAAATCTCCAGCTGCAAATTCCACAAAAAGGGTGTTTAACATCTGCTCTTCTAAAGGAAAGTTCAACTCTATGAGTTGAATACACACAGCACAAAGAAGTTACTGAGACTTCTCCTATCAAACATTATATGAAGAAATCCCGTTTCCAACGAAGGCCTCAAAGAGGACCAAATATCTGCTTGCAGACTTTACAGACAGAGTTTTTCCAAACTGCTCCATCAAAAGAAAGGTTAAACTCCTTGAGTTGAACACACACATCACAAAGTAGTTTCTGTGAATGATTCTGTCTAGTTTTTATACGAAGATGTTTCCTTTTCTACCTTTGGTCTCAAAGTGATTGAAATCTCCACATGGAAACTCCACAAAAAGAGTGTTTCAAATCTGCTCTTTCTGAAGGAAGGTTCAAATCTGTGAGTTGAATACACACACCACAAATAAGTTACTGAGAATTCTTCTGTGTAACATTATATGAGGAAATCCCGTTTCCAACGAAGGCCTGAAAGAGGTCCAAATATCCACTTGCAGACTTTTCAAAGACAGTGTCTCCAAACTCCTCCATCAAAAGAAAGGTTATACTCTGTGAATTGAATGCACACATCACAAAGTAGTTTCTGAGAATGATTCTGTCTAGTTTTTATACGAAGATATTTCCTTTTCTACATTTGGACAAAAAGCGCTTGAAATCTCCACCTGCAAATATCACAAAAAGAGGGTTTCACATCTGCTCTGTCTAAAGGACAGTTCACCTCTGTGAGTTGAATAGAGGCAACACAAAGAAGTTACTGAGTATTCTTCTTTCTACCGTTCTATGAAGAAATCCCGTTTCCAACGAAGGCCTCAAAGAGGTCCAAATATCTGCTTGCAGACTTTACAGACAGAGTGTTTCCAAACTACTCTATGAAAAGAAAGCTTAAACTCCTTGAGTTGAACGCACACATCACAAAGTAGTTTCTGAGAATGATTCTGTCTAGTTTTTATACGAAGATGTTTCCTTTTCTACCTTTGGTCTCAAAGCGATTGAAATCTCCAACTGGAAAGTGCACAAATAGGGTGTTTCAAATCTGCTCTGTCTAAAGGAAGGTTCAACTCTGTGAGTTGAATACACACAACACAAATAAGTTACTGAGAAATCTTCTCTCGAACATTACATGAAGAAATCCCGTTTCCAACGAAGGCCTCAAAGACGTCCAAATATCCACTTGCCGACATGGCAAACACAGTTTTTCTAAACTGCTCCGTGAAAAGAAAGGTTAAACTCTGTGAGATGAACACACACATCAAAAAGAAGTTTCTGTGAATGATTCTGTCTAGATTTTATAAGAAGATGTTTCCTTTTCTACCGTCGGCCTCAAAGCGCTTGAAATCTCCAGCTGCAAATTCCACAAAAAGGGTGTTTAACATCTGGTCTTCTAAAGGAAAGTTCAACTCTATGAGTTGAATACACACAGCACAAAGTAGTTACTGAGACTTCTCCTTTCAAACATTATATGAAGAAATCCCGTTTCCAACGAAGGCCTCAAAGAGGTCCAAATATCCACTTGCAGACGTGACAAACAGAGTGTTTCCAAACTGCTCCATCCAAAGAAAGGTTAAACTCTGTGAGTTGAACACACACATCACAAAATAGTTTCTGTGAATGATTCTGTCTAGTTTTTATACGAAGATGTTTCCTTTTCTACCTTTGGTCTCAAAGCGATTGAAATCTCCACATGGAAACTCCACAAAAAGAGTGTTTCAAATCTGCTCTTTCTGAAGGAAGGTTCACCTCTGTGAGTTGAATAAACACACCACAAATAAGTTACTGAGAATTCTTCTGTGTAACATTATATGAGGAAATCCCGTTTCCAACGAAGGCCTCAAAGAGGTCCAAATATCCACTTGCAGACTTTACAAAGACAGTGTCTCCAAACTCCTCCATCAAAAGAAAGGTTATACTCTGTGAATTGAACGCACACATCACAAAGTAGTTTCTGAGAATGATTCTGTCTAGTTTTTATACGAAGATATTTCCTTTTCTACATTTGGCCTAAAAGCGCTTGAAGTCTCCACCTGCAAATATCACAAAAAGAGGGTTTCACATCTGCTCTGTCTAAAGGACAGTTCACCTTTGTGAGTTGAATAGAGGCAACACAAAGAACTTACTCAGTATTCTTCTTTCTAGCGTTCTATGAAGAAATCCCGTTTCCAACGAAGGCCCCAAAGAGGTCCAAATATCTGCTTGCAGACTTTACAGACAGAGTGTTTCCAAACTACTCTATGAAAAGAAAGCTTAAACTCCTTGAGTTGAACGCACACATCACAAAGTAGTTTCTGAGAATGATTCTGTCTTGTTTTTATACGAAGATATTTCCGTTTCTACGATTGGCCTCAAAGCGATTGAAATCTCCAACTGGAAACTGCACAAATAGGGTGTTTCAAATCTGCTCTGTCTAAAGGAAGGTTCAACTCTGTGAGTTGAATACACACACCACAAATAAGTTACTGAGAATTCTTCTGTCGAACATTACATGAAGAAATCCCGTTTCCAACGAAGGCCGCAAAGAGGTCCAAATATCCACTTGCCGACATGGCAAACACAGTGTTTGCAAACTGCTCCGTCAAAAGAAAGGTTAAACTCTGTGAGATGAACACACACATCAAAAAGAAGTTTCTGTGAATGATTCTGTCTAGATTTTATAAGAAGCTGTTTCCTTTTCTACCATAGGCCTCAAAGCGCTAGAAATCTCCAGCTCCAAATTCCACAAAAAGTGTGTTTAACATCTGCTCTGTCTAAAGTAAAGTTCAGCTCTGTGAGTTGAATACACACAGCACAAAGAAGTTACTGAGACTTCTCCTATCAAACATTATATGAAGAAATCCCGTTTCCAACGAAGGCCTCAAAGAGGTCCAAATATCTACTTGCAGACTTTACAGACAGAGTGTTTCCAAACTGCTCCATCAAAAGAAAGGTTAAACTCCTTGAGTTGAACACACACATCACAAAGTAGTTTCTGTGAATGATTCTGTCTAGTTTTTATACGAAGATGTTTCCTTTTCTACATTTGGTCTCAAAGCGATTGAAATCTCCACATGGAAACTCCACAAAAAGAGTGTTTCAAATCTGCTCTTTCTGAAGGAAGGTTCAACTCTGTGAGTTGAATACACACACCACAAATAAGTTACTGAGAATTCTTCTGTGTAACATTATATGAGGAAATCCCGTTTCCAACGAAGGCCTCAAAGAGGTCCAAATATCCGCTTGCAGACTTTACAAAGACAGTGTCTCCAAACTCCTCCATCAAAAGAAAGGTTATACTCTGTGAATTGAACGCACACATCACAAAGTAGTTTCTGAGAATGATTCTGTCTAGTTTTTATACGAAGATATTTCCTTTTCTACATTTGGCCTAAAAGCGCTTGAAATCTCCACCTGCAAATATCACAAAAAGAGGGTTTCACATCTGCTCTGTCTAAAGGACAGTTCACCTCTGTGAGTTGAATAGAGGCAACACAAAGAACTTACTCAGTATTCTTCTTTCTAGCGTTATATGAAGAAATCCCGTTTCCAACGAAGGCCTCAAAGAGGTCCAAATATCTGCTTGCAGACTTTACAGACAGAGTGTTTCCAAACTATTCTATGAAAAGAAAGCTTAAACTCCTTGAGTTGAACGCACACAACGCAAAGTAGTTTCTGAGAATGATTCTGTCTTGTTTTTATACGAAGATATTTCCGTTTCTATGATTGGCCTCAAAGCCATTGAAATCTCCAACAGGAAGCTGCACAAACAGGGTGTTTCAAATCTGCTCTGTCTAAAGGAAGTTTCAACTCTGTGAGTTGAATACACACACCACAAATAAGTTGCTGAGAATTCTTCTGTCGAACATTACATGAAGAAATCCCGTTTCCAACGAAGGCCTCAAAGAGGTCCATATATCCACTTGCAGATATTACAAACTGAGTGTTTCCAAACTGCTCCATCAAAGGAAAGGTTAAACTCTGTGAGCTGAACACACACATCAAAAAGAAGTTTCTGTGAATGATTCTGTCTAGATTTTATAAGAAGATGTTTCCTTTTCTACAGTAGGCCTCAAAGCGCTTGAAACCTCCAGCTGCAAATTCCACAAAAAGGGTCTTTAACATCTGCTCTTCTAAAGGAAAGTTCAACTCTATGAGTTGAATACACACAGCACAAAGAAGTTACTGAGACTTCTCCTATCAAACATTATATGAAGAAATCCCGTTTCCAACGAAGGCCTCAAAGAGATCCAAATATCCCCTTGCAGACTTTACAGACAGAGTGTTTCCAAACTCCTACATCAAAAGAAAGGTTAAACTCCTTGAGTTGAACACACACATCACAAAGTAGTTTCTGTGAATGATTCTGTCTAGTTTTTATACGAAGATGTTTCCTTTTCTACCTTTGGTCTCAAAGCGATTGAAATCTCCACATGGAAACTCCACCAAAAGAGTGTTTCAAATCTGCTCTTTCTGAAGGAAGGTTCAACTCTGTGAGTTGAATACAGACACCACAAATAAGTTACTGAGAATTGTTCTGTGTAACATTATATGAGGAAATCCCGTTTCCAACGAAGGCCTCAAAGAGGTCCAAATATCCACTTGCAGACTTTACAAAGACAGTGTCTCCAAACTCCTCCATCAAAAGAAAGGTTATACTCTGTGAATTGAACGCATACATCACAAAGTAGTTTCTGAGAATGATTCTGTCTAGTTTTTATACGAAGATATTTCCTTTTCTACATTTGGCCTAAAAGCGCTTGAAATCTCCACCTGCAAATATCACAAAAAGAGGGTTTCACATCTGCTCTGTCTAAAGGACAGTTCACCTCTGTGAGTTGAATAGAGGCAACACAAAGAACTTACTCAGTATTCTTCTTTCTAGCGTTCTATGAAGAAATCCCGTTTCCAACGAAGGCCTCAAAGAGGTCAAATATCTGCTTGCAGACTTTACAGACAGAGTGTTTCCAAACTACTCTATGAAAAGAAAGCTTAAACTCCTTGAGTTGAACGCACACATCACAAAGTAGTTTCTGAGAATGATTCTGTCTAGTTTTTATACGAAGATGTTTCCTTTTCTACATTTGGTCTCAAAGCGATTGAAATCTCCAACTGGAAACTGCACAAATAGGGTGTTTCAAATCTGCTCTGTCTAAAGGAAGGTTCAACTCTGTGAGTTGAATACACACACCACAAATAAGTTACTGAGAATTCTTCTGTCGAACATTACAGGAAGAAATCCCGTTTCCAACGAAGGCCTCAAAGAGGTCCAAATATCCACTTGCAGACATTACAAACAGTGTGTTTCCAAACTGCTCCATCAAAAGAAAGGTTAAATTCTGTGAGCTGAACACACACATCAAAAAGAAGTTTCTGTGAATGATTCTGTCTAGATTTTATAAGAAGATGTTTCCTTTTCTACCGTAGGCCTCAAAGCGCTTGAAATCTCCAGCTGCAAATTCCACAAAAAGGGTGTTTAACATCTGCTCTTCTAAAGGAAAGTTCAACTCTATGAGTTGAATACACACAGCACAAAGAAGTTACTGAGACTTCTCCTATCAAACATTATATGAAGAAATCCCTTTTCCAACGAAGGCCTCAAAGAGGTGCAAATATCTGCTTGCAGACTTTACAGACAGAGTGTTTCCAAACTGCTCCATCAAAAGAAAGGTTAAACTCCTTGAGTTGAACACACACATCACAAAGTAGTTTCTGTGAATGATTCTGTCTAGTTTTTATACGAAGATGTTTCCTTTTCTACCTTTGGTCTCAAAGCGATTGAAATCTCCACATGGAAACTCCACAAAAAGAGTGTTTCAAATCTGCTCTTTCTGAAGGAAGGTTCAACTCTGTGAGTTGAATACACACACCACAAATAAGTTACTGAGAATTCTTCTGTGTAACGTTATATGAGGAAATCCCGTTTCCAACGAAGGCCTCAAAGAGGTCCAAATATCCACTTGCAGACTTTACAAAGACAGTGTCTCCAAACTCCTCCATCAAAAGAAAGGTTATACTCTGTGAATTGAACGCACACATCACAAAGTAGTTTCTGAGAATGATTCTGTCTAGTTTTTATACGAAGATATTTCCTTTTCTACATTTGGCCTAAAAGCGCTTGAAATCTCCACCTGCAAATATCACAAAAAGAGGGTTTCACATCTGCTCTGTCTAAAGGACAGTTCACCTCTGTGAGTTGAATAGAGGCAACACAAAGAACTTACTCAGTATTCGTCTTTCTAGCGTTCTATGAAGAAATCCCGTTTCCAACGAAGGCCTCAAAGAGGTCCAAATATCTGATTGCAGACTTTACAGACAGAGTGTTTCCCAACTACTCTATGAAAAGAAACCTTAAACTCCTTGAGTTGAACGCACACATCACAAAGTAGTTTCTGAGAATGATTCTGTCTAGTTTTTATACGAAGATGTTTCCTTTTCTACATTTGGTCTCAAAGCGATTGAAATCTCCAACTGGAAACTGCACAAATAGGGTGTTTCAAATCTGCTCTGTCTAAAGGAAGGTTCAACTCTGTGAGTTGAATACACACACCACAAATAAGTTACTGAGAATTCTTCTGTCAAACATTACATGAATAAATCCCGTTTCCAACGAAGGCCTCAAAGAGGTCCAAATATCCACTTGCAGACATTACAAACAGAGTGTTTCCAATCTGCTCCATCAAAGGAAAGGTTAAATTCTGTGAGCTGAACACACACATCAAAAAGAAGTTTCTGTGAATGATTCTGTCTAGATTGTATAAGAAGATGTTTCCTTTTCTACCGTAGGCCTCAAAGCGCTTGAAATCTCCAGCTGCAAATTCCACAAAAAGGGTGTTTAACATCTGCTCTTCTAAAGGAAAGTTCAACTCTATGAGTTGAATACACACAGCACAAAGAAGTTACTGAGACTTCTCCTATCAAACATTATATGAAGAAATCCCTTCTCCAACGAAGGCCTCAAAGAGGTCCAAATATCTGCTTGCAGACTTTACAGACAGAGTGTTTCCAAACCGCTCCATCAAAAGAAAGGTTAACCTCCTTGAGTTGAACACACACATCACAAAGTAGTTTCTGTGAATGATTCTGTCTAGTTTTTATAAGAAGATGTTTCCTTTTCTACCTTTGGTCTCAAAGCGATTGAAATCTCCACATGGAAACTCCTCAAAAAGAGTGTTTCAAATCTGCTCTTTCTGAAGGAAGGTTCAACTCTGTGAGTTGAATACACACACCACAAATAAGTTACTGAGAATTCTTCTGTGTAACATTATATGAGGAAATCCCGTTTCCATCGAAGGCCTCAAAGAGGTCCAAATATCCACTTGCAGACTTTACAAAGACAGTGTCTCCAAACTCCTCCATCAAAAGAAAGGTTATACTCTGTGAATTGAACGCACACATCACAAAGTAGTTTCTGAGAATGATTCTGTCTAGTTTTTATACGAAGATATTTCCTTTTCTACATTTGGCCTAAAAGCGCTTGAAATCTCCACCTGCAAATATCACAAAAAGAGGGTTTCACATCTGCTCTGTCTAAAGGACAGTTCACCTCTGTGAGTTGAATAGAGGCAACACAAAGAACGTACTCAGTATTCTTCTTTCTAGCATTCTATGAAGAAATCCCGTTTCCAACGAAGGCCTCAAAGAGGTCCAAATATCTGCTTGCAGACTTTACAGACAGAGTGTTTCCAAACTACTCTATGAAAAGAAAGCTTAAACTCCTTGAGTTGAATGCACACATCACAAAGTAGTTTCTGAGAATGATTCTGTCTAGTTTTTATACGAAGATGTTTCCTTTTCTACATTTGGTCTCAAAGCGATTGAAATCTCCAACTGGAAACTGCACAAATAGGGTGTTTCAAATCTGCTCTGTCTAAAGGAAGGTTCAACTCTTTGAGTTGAATACACACACCACAAATAAGTTACTGAGAATTCTTCTGTCGAACATTACTTGAAGAAATCCCGTTTCCAAAGAAGGCCTCAAAGAGGTCCAAATATCCACTTGCAGACATTACAAACAGAGTGTTTCCAAACTGCTCCATCAAAAGAAAGGTTAAACTCTGTGAGCTGAACACACACATCAAAAAGAAGTTTCTGTGAATGATTCTGTCTAGATTTTATAAGAAGATGTTTCCTTTTCTACCGTAGGCCTCAAAGCGCTTGAAATCTCCAGCTGCAAATTCCACAAAAAGGGTGTTTAACATCTGCTCTTCTAAAGGAAAGTTCAACTCTATGAGTTGAATACACACAGCACAAAGAAGTTACTGAGACTTCTCCTATCAAACATTATATGAAGAAATCCCGTTTCCAACGAAGGCCTCAAAGAGGTCCAAGTATCTGCTTGCAGACGTTACAGACAGAGTGTTTCCAAACTGCTCCATCAAAAGAAAGGTTAAACTCCTTGAGTTGAACACACACATCACAAAGTAGTTTCTGTGAATGATTCTGTCTAGTTTTTATACGAAGATGTTTCCTTTTCTACCTTTGGTCTCAAAGCGATTGAAATCTCCACATGGAAACTCCACAAAAAGAGTGTTTCAAATCTGCTCTTTCTGAAGGAAGGTTCAACTCTGTGAGTTGAATACACACACCACAAATAAGTTACTGAGAATTCTTCTGTGTAACATTACATGAGGAAATCCCGTTTCCAACGAAGGCCTCAAAGAGGTCCAAATATCCACTTGCAGACTTTACAAAGACAGTGTCTCCAAACTCCTCCATCAAAAGAAAGGTTATACTCTGTGAATTGAACGCACACATCACAAAGTAGTTTCTGAGAATGATTCTGTCTAGTTTTTATACGAAGATATTTCCTTTTCTACATTTGGCCTAAGAGCGCTTGAAATCTCCACCTGCAAATATCACAAAAAGAGGGTTTCACATCTGCTCTGTCTAAAGGACAGTTCACCTCTGTGAGTTGAATAGAGGCAACACAAAGAACTTACTCAGTATTCTTCTTTCTAGCGTTCTATGAAGAAATCCCTTTTCCAAAGAAGGCCTCAAAGAGGTCCAAATATCTGCTTGCAGACTTTACAGAGTGTTTCCAAACTACTCTATGAAAAGAAAGCTTAAACTCCTTGAGTTGAACGCACACATCACAAAGTAGTTTCTGAGAATGATTCTGTCTAGTTTTTATACGAAGATGTTTCCTTTTCTACATTTGGTCTCAAAGCGATTGAAATCTCCAACTGGAAACTGCACAAATAGGGTGTTTCAAATCTGCTCTGTCTAAAGGAAGGTTCAACTCTGTGAGTTGAATACACACACCACAAATAAGTTACTGAGAATTCTTCTGTCGAACATTACTTGAAGAAATCCCGTTTCCAACGAAGGCCTCAAAGTAGGTCCAAATATCCACTTGCAGACATTACAAACAGAGTGTTTCCAAACTGCTCCATCAAAAGAAAGGTTAAACTCTGTGAGCTGAACACACACATCAAAAAGAAGTTTCTGTAAATGATTCTGTCAAGATTTTATAAGATGTTTCCATTTCTACCGTAGGACTCAAAGCGCTTGAAATCTCCAGCTGCAAATTCCACAAAAAGGGTGTTTAACATCTGCTCTTCTAAAGGAAAGTTCAACTCTATGAGTTGAATACACACAGCACAAAGAAGTTACTGAGACTTCTCCTATCAAACATTATATGAAGAAATCCCGTTTCCAACGAAGGCCTCAAAGAGGTCCAAATATCTGCTTGCAGACATTACAGACAGAGTGTTCCCAAACTGCTCCATCAAAAGAAAGGTTAAACTCCTTGAGTTGAACACACACATCACAAAGTAGTTTCTGTGAATGATTCTGTCCAGTTTTTATACGAAGATGTTTCCTTTTCTACCTTTGGTCTCAAAGCGATTGAAATCTCCACATGGAAACTCCACAAAAAGAGTGTTTCAAATCTGCTCTTTCTGAAGGAAGGTTCAACTCTGTGAGTTGAATACACACACCACAAATAAGTTACTGAGAATTCTTCTGTGTAACATTATATGAGGAAATCCCGTTTCCAACGAAGGCCTCAAAGAGGTCCAAATATCCACTTGCAGACTTTACAAAGACAGTGTCTCCAAACTCCTCCATCGAAAGAATGGTTATACTCTGTGAATTGAACGCACACATCACAAAGTAGTTTCTGAGAATGATTCTGTCTAGTTTTTATACGAAGATATTTCCTTTTCTACATTTGGCCTCAAAGCGCTTGAAATCTCCACCTGCAAATATCACAAAAAGAGGGTTTCACATCTGCTCTGTCTAAAGGACAGTTCACCTCTGTGAGTTGAATAGAGGCAACACAAAGAACTTACTCAGTATTCTTCTTTCTACCGTTCTATGAAGAAATCCCGTTTCCAACGAAGGCCTCAAAGAGGTCCAAATATCTGCTTGCAGACTTTACAGACAGAGTGTTTCCAAACTACTCTATGAAAAGAAAGCTTAAACTCCTTGAGTTGAACGCACACATCACAAAGTAGTTTCTGAGAATGATTCTGTCTAGTTTTTATACGAAGATGTTTCCTTTTCTACATTTGGTCTCAAAGCGATTGAAATCTCCAACTGGAAACTGCACAAATAGGCTGTTTCAAATCTGCTCTGTCTAAAGGAAGGTTCAACTCTGTGAGTTGAATACACACACCACAAAGAAGTTACTGAGAATTCTTCTGTCGAACATTACAGGAAGAAATCCCGTTTCCAGCGAAGGCCTCAAAGAGGTCCAAATATCCACTTGCAGACATTACAAACAGAGTGTTTCCAAACTGCTCCATCAAAAGAAAGGTTAAACTCTGTGAGCTGAACACACACATCAAAAAGAAGTTTCTGTGAATGATTCTGTCTAGATTTTATAAGAAGATGTTTCCTTTTCTACCGTAGGCCTCAAAGCGCTTGAAATCTCCAGCTGCAAATTCCACAAAAAGGGTGTTTAACATCTGCTCTTCTAAAGGAAAGTTCAACTCTATGAGTTGAATACACACAGCACAAAGAAGTTACTGAGACTTCTTCTGTCTAACATTATATGAAGAAATCCCGATTCCAACGAAGGCCTCAAAGAGGTCCAAATATCTGCCTGCAGACTTTACAGACAGAGTGTTTCCAAACTGCTCCATCAAAAGAAAGGTTAAACTCCTTGAGTTGAACACACACATCACAAAGTAGTTTCTGTGAATGATTCTGTCTAGTTTTTATACGAAGATGTTTCCTTTTCTACCTTTGGTCTCAATGCGATTGAAATCTCCACATGGAAACTCCACAAAAAGAGTGTTTCAAATCTGCTCTTTCTGAAGGAAGGTTCAACTCTGTGAGTTGAATACACACACCACAAATAAGTTACTGAGAATTCTTCTGTGTAACATTATATGAGGAAATCCCGTTTCCAACGAAGGCCTCAAAGAGGTCCAAATATCCACTTGCAGACTTTACAAAGACAGTGTCTCCAAACTCCTCCATCAAAAGAAAGGTTATACTCTGTGAATTGAACGCACACATCACAAAGTAGTTTCTGAGAATGATTCTGTCTAGTTTTTATACGAAGATATTTCCTTTTCTACATTTGGCCTAAAAGCGCTTGAAATCTCCACCTGCAAATATCACAAAAAGAGGGTTTCACATCTGCTCTGTCTAAAGGACAGTTCACCTCTGTGAGTTGAATAGAGGCAACACAAAGAACTTACTCAGTATTCTTCTTTCTAGCGTTCTATGAAGAAATCCCGTTTCCAACCGAAGGCCCTAAAGAGGTCCAAATATCTGCTTGCAGACTTTACAGACAGAGTGTTTCCAAACTACTCTATGAAAAGAAAGCTTAAACTCCTTGAGTTGAACGCACACATCACAAAGTAGTTTCTGAGAATGATTCTGTCTAGTTTTTATACGAAGATGTTTCCTTTTCTACATTTGGTCTCAAAGCTCTTGAAATCTCCAACTGGAAACTGCACAAATAGGGTGTTTCAAATCTGCTCTGTCTAAAGGAAGGTTCAACTCTGTGAGTTGAATACACACACCACAAATAAGTTACTGAGAATTCTTCTGTCGAACATTACTTGAAGAAATCCCGTTTCCAACGAAGGCCTCAAAGAGGTCCAAATATCCACTTGCAGATATTACAAACAGAGTGTTTCCAAACTGCTCCAACAAAAGAAAGGTTAAACTCTGTGAGCTGAACACAAACATCAAAAAGAAGTTTCTGTGAATGATTCTGTCTAGGTTTTATAAGAAGATGTTTCCTTTTCTACCGTAGGCCTCAAAGCGCTTGAAATCTCCAGCTGCAAATTCCACAAAAAGGGTGTTTAACATCTGCTCTTCTAAAGGAAAGTTCAACTCTATGAGTTGAATACACACAGCACAAAGAAGTTACTGAGACTTCTCCTATCAAACATTATATGAAGAAATCCCGTTTCCAACGAAGCCCTCAAAGAGGTACAAATATCTGCTTGCAGACTTTACAGACAGAGTGTTTCCAAACTGCTCCATCAAAAGAAAGGTTAAACTCCTTGAGTTGAACACACACATCACAAAGTAGTTTCTGTGAATGATTCTGTCTAGTTTTTATACGAAGATGTTTCCTTTTCTACCTTTGGTCTCAAAGCGATTGAAATCTCCACATGGAAACTCCACAAAAAGAGTGTTTCAAATCTGCTCTTTCTGAAGGAAGGTTCACCTCTGTGAGTTGAATAAACACACCACAAATAAGTTACTGAGAATTCTTCTGGGTAACATTATATGAGGAAATCCCGTTTCCAACGAAGGCCTCAAAGAGGTCCAAATATCCACTTGCAGACTTTACAAAGACAGTGTCTCCAAACTCCTCCATCAAAAGAAAGGTTATACTCTGTGAATTGAACGCACACATCACAAAGTAGTTTCTGAGAATGATTCTGTCTAGTTTTTATACGAAGATATTTCCTTTTCTACATTTGGCCTAAAAGCGCTTGAAATCTCCACCTGCAAATATCACAAAAAGAGGGTTTCACATCTGCTCTGTCTAAAGGACAGTTCACCTCTGTGAGTTGAATAGAGGCAACACAAAGAACTTACTCAGTATTCTTCTTTCTAGCGTTCTATGAAGAAATCCCGTTTACAACGAAGGCCTCAAAGAGGTCCAAATATCTGCTTGCAGACTTTACAGACAGAGTGTTTCCAAACTACTCTATGAAAAGAAAGCTTAAACTCCTTGAGTTGAACGCACACATCACAAAGTAGTTTCTGAGAATGATTCTGTCTAGTTTTTATATGAAGATGTTTCCTTTTCTACATTTGGTCTCAAAGCGATTGAAATCTCCAACTGGAAACTGCACAAATAGGCTGTTTCAAATCTGCTCTGTCTATAGGAAGGTTCAACTCTGTGAGTTGAATACACACACCACAAATAAGTTACTGAGAATTCTTCTGTCGAACATTACTTGAGGAAATCCCGTTTCCAACGAAGGCCTCAAAGAGGTCCAAATATCCACTTGCAGACATTACAAACAGTGTGTTTCCAAACTGCTCCATCAAAAGAAAGGTTAAACTCTGTGAGCTGAACACACACATCAAAAAGAAGTTTCTGTGAATGATTCTGTCTAGATTTTATAAGAAGATGTTTCCTTTTCTACCGTAGGCCTCAAAGCGCTTGAAATCTCCGGCTGCAAATTCCACAAAAAGGGTGTTTAACATCTGCTCTTCTAAAGGAAAGTTCAACTCTATGAGTTGATTGCACACAGCACAAAGAAGTTACTGAGACTTCTCCTATCAAACATTATATGAAAAAATCCCGTTTCCAACGAAGGCCTCAAAGAGGTCCAAATATCTGCTTGCAGACTTTACAGACAGAGTGTTTCCAAACTGCTCCATCAAAAGAAAGGTTAAACTCCTTGAGTTGAACACACACATCACAAAGTAGTTTCTGTGAATGATTCTGTCTAGTTTTTATACGAAGATGTTTCCTTTTCTACCTTTGGTCTCAAAGCGATTGAAATCTCCACATGGAAACTCCACAAAAAGAGTGTTTCAAATCTGCTCTTTCTGAAGGAAGGTTCAACTCTGTGAGTTGAATACACACACCACAAATAAGTTACTGAGAATTCTTCTGTGTAACATTATATGAGGAAATCCCGTTTCCAACGAAGGCCTCAAAGAGGTCCAAATATCCACTTGCAGACTTTACAAAGACAGTGTCTCCAAACTCCTCCATCAAAGAAAGGTTATACTATGTGAATTGAACGCACACATCACAAAGTAGTTTCTGAGAATGATTCTGTCTAGTTTTTATACGAAGATATTTCCTTTTCTACATTTGGCCTAAAAGCACTTGAAATCTCCACTGCAAATATCACAAAAAGAGGGTTTCACATCTGCTCTGTCTAAAGGACAGTTCACCTCTGTGAGTTGAATAGAGGCAACACAAAGAACTTACTCAGTATTCTTCTTTCTACCGTTCTATGAAGAAATCCCGTTTCCAACGAAGGCCTCAAAGAGGTCCAAATATCTGCTTGCAGACTTTACAGACAGAGTGTTTCCAAACTACTCTATGAAAAGAAAGCTTAAACTCCTTGAGTTGAACGCACACATCACAAAGTAGTTTCTGAGAATGATTCTGTTTTGTTTTTATACGAAGATATTTCCTTTTCTATGATTGGCCCCAAAGCGATTGAAATCTCCAACTGGAAACTGCACAAATAGGGAGTTTCAAATCTGCTCTGTCTAAAGGAAGATTCAACTCTGTGAGTTGAATACACACACCACAAATAAGTTACTGAGAATTCTTCTGTCGAACATTACATGAAGAAATCCCGTTTCCAACGAAGGCCTCAAAGAGGTCCAAATATCCATTTGCCGAGAATGCAAACACAGTTTTTCCAAACTGCTCCATCAAAAGAAAGGTTAAACTCTGTGAGATGAACACACACATCAAAAAGAAGTTTCTGTGAATGATTCTGTCTAGATTGTATAAGAAGATGTTTCCTTTTCTACCGTAGGCCTCAAAGCGCTTGAAATCTATAGCTGCAAATTCCACAAAAAGGGTGTTTAACATCTGCTCTTCTAAAGGAAAGTTCAACTCTATGAGTTGAATACACACAGCACAAAGAAGTTACTGAGACTTCTCGTATCAAACATTATATGAAGAAATCCCGTTTCCAACGAAGGCCTCAAAGAGGTCCAAATATCTGCTTGCAGACTTTACAGACAGAGTCTTTCCAAACTGCTCCATCAAAAGAAAGGTTAAACTCCTTGAGTTGAACGCACACATCACAAAGTAGTTTCTGAGAATGATTCTGTCTAGTTTTTATACGAAGATGTTTCCTTTTCTACCTTTGGTCTCAAAGCGATTGAAATCTCCACATGGAAACTCCACAAAAAGAGTGTTTCAAATCTGCTCTTTCTGAAGGAAGGTTCAACTCTGTGAGTTGAATACACACACCACAAATAAGTTACTGAGAATTCTTCTGGGTAACATTATATGAGGAAATCCCGTTTCCAACGAAGGCCTCAAAGAGGTCCAAATATCCACTTGCAGACTTTACAAAGACAGTGTCTCCAAACTCCTCCATCAAAAGAAAGGTTATACTCTGTGAATTGAACGCACACATCACAAAGTAGTTTCTGAGAATGATTCTGTCTACTTTTTATACGAAGATATTTCCTTTTCTACATTTGGCCTAAAAGCGCTTGAAATCTCCACCTGCAAATATCACAAAAAGAGGGTTTCACATCTGCTCTGTCTAAAGGACAGTTCACCTCTGTGAGTTGAATAGAGGCAACACAAAGAAGTTACTGAGTATTCTTCTTTCTAGCGTTCTATGAAGAAATCCCGTTTCCAACGAAGGCCTCAAAGAGGTCCAAATATCTGCTTGCAGACTTTACAGACAGAGTGTTTCCAAACTACTCTATGAAAAGAAAGCTTAAACTCCTTGAGTTGAACGCACACATCACAAAGTAGTTTCTGAGAATGATGCTGTCTAGTTTTTGTACGAAGATGTTTCCTTTTCTACATTTGGTCTCAAAGCCATTGAAATCTCCAACTGGAAACTGCACAAATAGGGTGTTTCAAATCTGCTCTGTCTAAAGGAAGGTTCAACTCTGTGAGTTGAATACACACACCATAAATAAGTTACCGAGAATTCTTCTGTCGAACATTACTTGAAGAAATCCCGTTTCCAACGAAGGCCTCAAAGAGGTCCAAATATCCACTTGCAGACATTACAAACAGAGTGTTTCCAAACTGCTCCATCAAAAGAAAGGTTAAACTCTGTGAGCTGAACACACACATCAAAAAGAAGTTTCTGTGAATGATTCTGTCTAGATTTTATAAGAAGATGTTTCCTGTTCTACCGTAGGCCTCAAAGCGCTTGAAATCTCCAGCTGCAAATTCCACAAAAAGGGTGTTTAACATCTGCTCTTCTAAAGGAAAGTTCAACTCAATGAGTTGAATACACACAGCACAAAGAAGTTACTGAGACTTCTCCTATCAAACATTATATGAAGAAATCCCGTTTCCAACGAAGGCCTCAAAGAGGTCCAAATATCTGCTTGCAGACTTTACAGACAGAGTTTTTCCAAACTGCTCCATCAAAAGAAAGGTTAAACTCCTTGAGTTGAACACACACATCACAAAGTAGTTTCTGTGAATGATTCTGTCTAGTTTTTATACGAAGATGTTTCCTTTTCTACCTTTGGTCTCAAAGCGATTGAAATCTCCACATGGAAACTCCACAAAAAGAGTGTTTCAAATCTGCTCTTTCTGAAGGAAGGTTCAACTCTGTGAGTTGAATACACACACCACAAATAAGTTACTGAGAATTCTTCTGTGTAACATTATATGAGGAAATCCCGTTTCCAACGAAGGCCTCAAAGAGGTCCAAATATCCACTTGCAGACTTTACAAAGACAGTGTCTCCAAACTCCTCCATCAAAAGAAAGGTTATCCTCTGTGAATTGAACGCACACATCACAAAGTAGTTTCTGAGAATGATTCTGTCTAGTTTTTATACGAAGATATTTCCTTTTCTACATTTGGCCTAAAAGCGCTTGAAATCTCCACCTGCAAATATCACAAAAAGAGGGTTTCACATCTGCTCTGTCTAAAGGACAGTTCACCTCTGTGAGTTGAATAGAGGCAACACAAAGAACTTACTCAGTATTCTTCTTTCTACCGTTCTATGAAGAAATCCCGTTTCCAACGAAGGCCTCAAAGAGGTCCAAATATCTGCTTGCAGACTTTACAGACAGAGTGTTTCCAAACTACTCTATGAAAAGAAAGCTTAAACTCCTTGAGTTGAACGCACACATCACAAAGTAGTTTCTGAGAATGATTCTGTCTAGTTTTTATACGAAGATATTTCCTTTTCTACATTTGTCTCAAAGCGATTGAAATCTCCAACTGGAAACTGCACAAATAGGGTGTTTCAAATCTGCTCTGTCTAAAGGGAGGTTCAACTCTGTGAGTTCAATACACACACCACAAATAAGTTACTGAGAATTCTTCTGTCTAACATTATATGAAGAAATCCCGTTTCCAACGAAGGCCTCAAAGAGGTCCAAATATCCACTTGCAGACTTGTCAAACAGAGTGTTTCCAAACTGCACCATCAAAAGAAAGGTTAAACTCTGTGAGCTGAACACACACAACACAAAGTAGTTTCTGTGAATGATTCTCTATAGATTTTATAAGAAGATGTTTCCTTTTCTACCCTTGGCCTCAAAGCGCTTGAAATCTCCAGCTGCAAATTCCACAAAAAGGGTGTTTAACATCTGCTCTTCTAAAGGAAAGTTCAACTCTATGAGTTGAATACACACAGCACAAAGAAGTTACTGAGACTTCTCCTATCAAACATTATATGAAGAAATCCCGTTTCCAACGAAGGCCTCAAAGAGGTCCAAATATCTGCTTGCAGACTTTACAGACAGAGTTTTTCCAAACTGCTCCATCAAAAGAAAGGTTAAACTCCTTGAGTTGAACACACACATCACAAAGTAGTTTCTGTGAATGATTCTGTCTAGTTTTTATACGAAGATGTTTCCTTTTCTACCTTTGGTCTCAAAGCGATTGAAATCTCCACATGGAAACTCCACAAAAAGAGTGTTTCAAATCTGCTCTTTCTGAAGGAATGTTCAACTCTGTGAGTTGAATACACACACCACAAATAAGTTACTGAGAATTCTTCTGTGTAACATTATATGAGGAAATCCCGTTTCCAACGAAGGCCTCAAAGAGGTCCAAATATCCACTTGCAGACTTTACAAAGACAGTGTCTCCAAACTCCTCCATCAAAAGAAAGGTTATACTCTGTGAATTGAACGCACACATCACAAAGTAGTTTCTGAGAATGATTCTGTCTAGTTTTTATACGAAGATATTTCCTTTTCTACATTTGGCCTAAAAGCGCTTGAAATCTCCACCTGCAAATATCACAAAAAGAGGGTTTCACATCTGCTCTGTCTAAAGGACAGTTCACCTCTGTGAGTTGAATAGAGGCAACACAAAGAACTTACTCAGTATTCTTCTTTCTAGCGTTCTATGAAGAAATCCCGTTTCCAACGAAGGCCCCAAAGAGGTCCAAATATCTGCTTGCAGACTTTACAGACAGAGTGTTTCCAAACTACTCTATGAAAAGAAAGCTTAAACTCCTTGAGTTGAACGCACACATCACAAAGTAGTTTCTGAGAATGATTCTGTCTAGTTTTTATACGAAGATGTTTCCTTTTCTACATTTGGTCTCAAAGCGATTGAAATCTCCAACTGGAAACTGCACAAATAGGGTGTTTCAAATCTGCTCTGTCTAAAGGAAGGTTCAACTCTTTGAGTTGAATACACACACCACAAATAAGTTACTGAGAATTCTTCTGTCGAACATTACTTGAAGAAATCCCGTTTCCAACGAAGGCCTCAAAGAGGTCCAAATATCCACTTGCAGACATTACAAACAGAGTGTTTCCAAACTGCTCCATCAAAAGAAAGGTTAAACTCTGTGAGCTGAACACACACATCGAAAAGAAGTTTCTGTGAATGATTCTGTCTAGATTTTATAAGAAGATGTTTCCTTTTCTACCGTAGGCCTCAAAGCGCTTGAAATCTCCAGCTGCAAATTCCACAAAAAGGGTGTTTAACATCTGCTCTTCTAAAGGAAAGTTCAACTCTATGAGTTGAATACACACAGCACAAAGAAGTTACTGAGACTTCTCCTATCAAACATTATATGAAGAAATCCCGTTTCCAACGAAGGCCTCAAAGAGGTCCAAATATCTACTTGCAGACTTTACAGACAGAGTGTTTCCAAACTGCTCCATCAAAAGAAAGGTTAAACTCCTTGAGTTGAACACACACATCACAAAGTAGTTTCTGTGAATGATTCTGTCTAGTTGTTATACGAAGATGTTTCCTTTTCTACCTTTGGTCTCAAAGCGATTGAAATCTCCACATGGAAACTCCACAAAAAGAGTGTTTCAAATCTGCTCTTTCTGAAGGAAGGTTCATCTCTGTGAGTTGAATACACACACCACAAATAAGTTACTGAGAATTCTTCTGTGTAACATTATATGAGGAAATCCCGTTTCCAACGAAGGCCTCAAAGAGGTCCAAATATCCACTTGCAGACTTTACAAAGACAGTGTCTCCAAACTCCTCCATCAAAAGAAAGGTTATACTCTGTGAATTGAACGCACACATCACAAAGTAGTTTCTGAGAATGATTCTGTCTAGTTTTTATACGAAGATATTTCCTTTTCTACATTTGGCCTAAAAGCGCTTGAAATCTCCACCTGCAAATATCACAAAAAGAGGGTTTCACATCTGCTCTGTCTAAAGGACAGTTCACCTCTGTGAGTTGAATAGAGGCAACACAAAGAACTTACTCAGTATTCTTCTTTCTAGCGTTATATGAAGAAATCCCGTTTCCAACGAAGGCCTCAAAGAGGCCCAAATATCTGCTTGCAGACTTTACAGACAGAGTGTTTCCAAACTACTCTATGAAAAGAAAGCTTAAACTCCTTGAGTTGAACGCACACATCACAAAGTAGTTTCTGAGAATGATTCTGTCAAGTTTTTATACGAAGATGTTTCCTTTTCTACATTTGGTCTCAAAGCGATTGAAATCTGCAACTGGAAACTGCACAAATAGGGTGTTTCAAATCTGCTCTGTCTAAAGGAAGTTTCAACTCTGTGAGTTGAATACACACACCACAAATAAGTTACTGAGAATTCTTCTGTCGAACATTACAGGAAGAAATCCCGTTTCCAACGAAGGCCTCAAAGAGGTCCAAATATCCACTTGCAGACATTACAAACAGTGTGTTTCCCAACTGCTCCATCAAAAGAAAGGTTAAACTCTGTGAGCTGAACACACACATCAAAAAGAAGTTTCTGTGAATGATTCTGTCTAGATTTTATAAGATGTTTCCTTTTCTACCGTAGGCCTCAAAGCGCTTGAAATCTCCAGTTGCAAATTCCACAAAAACGGTGTTTAACATCTGCTCTTCTAAAGGAAAGTTCAACTCTATGAGTTGAATACACACAGCACAAAGAAGTTACTGAGACTTCTCCTATCAAACATTATATGAAGAAATCCCGTTTCCAAAGAAGGCCTCAAAGAGGTCCAAATATCTGCTTGCAGACTTTACAGACAGAGTTTTTCCAAACTGCTCCATGAATAGAAAGGTTAAACTCCTTGAGTTGAACACACACATCACAAAGTAGTTTCTGTGAATGATTCTGTCTAGTCTTTATACGAAGATGTTTCCTTTTCTACCTTTGGTCTCAATGCGATTGAAATCTCCACATGGAAACTCCACAAAAAGAGTGTTTCAAATCTGCTCTTTCTGAAGGAAGGTTCAACTCTGTGAGTTGAATACACACACCACAAATAAGTTACTGAGAATTCTTCTGTGTGACATTATATGAGGAAATCCCGTTTCCAACGAAGGCCTCAAAGAGGTCCAAATATCCACTTGCAGACTTTACAAAGACAGTGTCACCAAACTCCTCCATCAAAAGAAAGGTTATACTCTGTGAATTGAACGCACACATCACAAAGTAGTTTCTGAGAATGATTCTGTCTAGTTTTTATACGAAGATATTTCCTTTTCTACATTTGGCCTAAAAGCGCTTGAAATCTCCACCTGCAAATATCACAAAAAGAGGGTTTCACATCTGCTCTGTCTAAAGGACAGTTCACCTCTGTGAGTTGAATAGAGGCAACACAAAGAACTTACTCAGTATTCTTCTTTCTAGCGTTCTATGAAGAAATCCCGTTTCCAACGAAGGCCCCAAAGAGGTCCAAATATCTGCTTGCAGACTTTACAGACAGAGTGTTTCCAAACTACTCTATGAAAAGAAAGCTTAAACTCCTTGAGTTGAACGCACACATCACAAAGTAGTTTCTGAGAATGATTCTGTCTAGTTTTTATACGAAGATGTTTCCTTTTCTACATTTGGTCTCAAAGCGATTGAAATCTCCAACTGGAAACTGCACAAATAGGCTGTTTCAAATCTGCTCTGTCTAAAGGAAGGTTCAACTCTGTGAGTTGAATACACACACCACAAATAAGTTACTGAGAATTCTTCTGTCGAACATTACATGAAGAAATCCCGTTTCCAACGAAGGCCTCAAAGAGGTCCAAATATCCACTTGCAGACATTACAAACAGAGTGTTTCCAAACTGCTCCATCAAAAGAAAGTTTAAACCCTGTGAGCTGAACAAACACATCAAAAAGAAGTTTCTGTGAATGATTCTGTCTAGACTTTAGAAGAAGATGTTTCCTTTTCTACTGTAGGCCTCAAAGCGCTTGAAATCTCCAGCTGCAAATTCCACAAAAAGGGAGTTTAACATCTGCTCTTCTAAAGGAAAGTTCAACTCCATGAGTTGAATACACACAGCACAAAGAAGTTACTGAGACTTCTCCTATCAAACATTATATGAAGAAATCCCGTTTCCAACGAAGGCCTCAAAGAGGTCCAAATATCTACTTGCAGACTTTACAGACAGAGTGTTTCCAAACTGCTCCATCAAAAGAAAGGTTAAACTCCTTGAGTTGAACACACACATCACAAAGTAGTTTCTGTGAATGATTCTGTCTAGTTTTTATACGAAGATGTTTCCTTTTCTACCTTTGGTCTCAAAGCGATTGAAATCTCCACATGGAAACTCCACAAAAAGAGTGTTTCAAATCTGCTCTTTCTGAAGGAAGG
This sequence comes from Homo sapiens, assembly GCF_000001405.40. Classification (NCBI taxonomy): domain Eukaryota; kingdom Metazoa; phylum Chordata; class Mammalia; order Primates; family Hominidae; genus Homo; species Homo sapiens. The sequence goes on along the minus strand of NC_000012.12, from coordinate 37,019,033 downwards.
TTCAACTCTGTGAGTTGAATACACACACCACAAATAAGTTACTGAGAATTCTTCTGTGTAACATTATATGAGGAAATCCCCTTTCCAACGAAGTCCTCAAAGAGGTCCAAATATCCACTTACAGACTTTACAAAGACAGTGTCTCCAAACTCCTCCATCAAAAGAAAGGTTATACTCTGTGAATTGAACGCACACATCACAAAGTAGTTTCTGAGAATGATTCTGTCTAGTTTTTATACGAAGATATTTCCTTTTCTACATTTGGACTAAAAGCGCTTGAAATCTCCATCTGCAAATATCACAAAAAGAGGGTTTCACATCTGCTCTGTCTAAAGGACAGTTCACCTCTGTGAGTTGAATAGAGGCAACACAAAGAACTTACTCAGCATTCTTCTTTCTAGCGTTCTATGAAGAAATCCCGTTTCCAACGAAGGCCTCAAAGAGGTCCAAATATCTGCTTGCACACTTTACAGACAGAGTGTTTCCAAACTACTCTATGAAAAGAAAGCTTAAACTCCTTGAGTTGAACGCACACATCACAAAGTAGTTTCTGAGAATGATTCTGTCAAGTTTTTATACGAAGATGTTTCCTTTTCTACATTTGGTCTCAAAGCGATTGAAATCTCCAACTGGAAACTGCACAAATAGGGTGTTTCAAATCTGCTCTGTCTAAAGGAAGGTTCAACACTGTGAGTTGAATACACACACCACAAATAAGTTACTGAGAATTCTTCTGTCGAACATTACATGAAGAAATCCCGTTTCCAACGAAGGCCTCAAAGACGTCCAAATATCCACTTGCAGACATTACAAACAGAGTGTTTCCAAACTGCTCCATCAAAAGAAAGGTTAAACTCTGTGAGCTGAACACACACATCAAAAAGAAGTTTCTGTGAATGATTCTGTCTAGATTTTATAAGAAGATGTTTCCTTTTCTACCGTAGGCCTCAAAGCGCTTGAAATCTCCAGCTGCAAATTCCACAAAAAGGGGGTTTAACATCTGGTCTTCTAAAGGAAAGTTCAACTCTATGAGTTGAATACACACAGCACAAAGAAGTTACTGAGACTTCTCCTATCAAACATTATATGAAGAAATCCCGTTTCCAACGAAGGCCTCAAAGAGGTCCAAATATCTGGTTGCAGACTTTACAGACAGAGTGTTTCCAAACTGCTCCATCAAAAGAAAGGTTAAACTCCTTGAGTTGAACACACACATCACAAAGTAGTTTCTGTGAATGATTCTGTCTAGTTTTTATACGAAGATGTTTCCTTTTCTACCTTTGGTCTCAAAGCGATTGAAATCTCCACATGGAAACTCCACAAAAAGAGTGTTTCAAATCTGCTCTTTCTGAAGGAAGGTTCAACTCTGTGAGTTGAATACACACACCACAAATAAGTTACTGAGAATTCTTCTGAGTAACATTATATGAGGAAATCCCGTTTCCAACGAAGGCCTCAAAGAGATCCAAATATCCACTTGCAGACTTTACAAACACAGTGTCTCCAAACTCCTCCATCAAAAGAAAGGTTATACTCTGTGAATTGAACGCACACATCACAAAGTAGTTTCTGAGAATGATTCTGTCTAGTTTTTATACGAAGATATTTCCTTTTCTACATTTGGCCTAAAAGCGCTTGAAATCTCCACCTGCAAATATCACAAAAAGAGGGTTTCACATCTGCTCTGTCTAAAGGACAGTTCACCTCTGTGAGTTGAATAGAGGCAACACAAAGAACTTACTCAGTATTCTTCTTTCTACCGTTCTATGAAGAAATCCCGTTTCCAACGAAGGCCTCAAAGAGGTCCAAATATCTGCTTGCAGACTTTACAGACAGAGTGTTTCCAAACTACTCTATGAAAAGAAAGCTTAAACTCCTTGAGTTGAACGCACACATCACAAAGTAGTTTCTGAGAATGATTCTGTCTAGTTTTTATACGAAGATGTTTCCTTTTCTACATTTGTCTCAAAGCGATTGAAATCTCCAACTGGAAACTGCACAAATAGGGTGTTTCAAATCTGCTCTGTCTAAAGGGAGGTTCAACTCTGTGAGTTCAATACACACACCACAAATAAGTTACTGAGAATTCTTCTTTCGAACATTACTTGAAGAAATCCCGTTTCCAATGAAGGCCTCAAAGAGGTCCAAATATCCACTTGCAGACATTACAAACAGAGTGTTTCCAAACTGCTCCATCAAAAGAAAGGTTAAACTCTGTGAGCTGAACACACACATCAAAAAGAAGTTTCTGTGAATGATTCTGTCTAGATTTTATAAGAAGATGTTTCCTTTTCTACCGTAGGCCTCAAAGCGCTTGAAATCTCCAGCTGCAAATTCCACAAAAAGGGTGTTTAACATCTGCTCTTCTAAAGAAAGTTCAACTCTATGAGTTGAATACACACAGCACAAAGAAGTTACTGAGACTTCTCCTATCAAACATTATATGAAGAAATCCCGTTTCCAACGAAGGCCTCAAAGAGGTCCAAATATCTGCTTGCAGACTTTACAGACAGAGTGTTTCCAAACTGCTCCATCAAAAGAAAGGTTAAACTCCTTGAGTTGAACACACACATCACAAAGTAGTTTCTGTGAATGATTCTGTCTAGTTGTTATACGAAGATGTTTCCTTTTCTACCTTTGGTCTCAAAGCGATTGAAATCTCCACATGGAAACTCCACAAAAAGAGTGTTTCAAATCTGCTCTTTCTGAAGGAAGGTTCATCTCTGTGAGTTGAATACACACACCACAAATAAGTTACTGAGAATTCTTCTGTGTAACATTATATGAGGAAATCCCGTTTCCAACGAAGGCCTCAAAGAGGTCCAAATATCCACTTGCAGACTTTACAAAGACAGTGTCTCCAAACTCCTCCATCAAAAGAAAGGTTATACTCTGTGAATTGAACGCACACATCACAAAGTAGTTTCTGAGAATGATTCTGTCTAGTTTTTATACGAAGATATTTCCTTTTCTACATTTGGCCTAAAAGCGCTTGAAATCTCCACGTGCAAATATCACAAAAAGAGGGTTTCACATCTGCTCTGTCTAAAGGACAGTTCACCTCTGTGAGTTGAATAGAGGCAACACAAAGAACTTACTCAGTATTCTTCTTTCTAGCGTTCTATGAAGAAATCCCGTTTCCAACGAAGGCCTCAAAGAGGTCAAATATCTGCTTGCAGACTTTACAGACAGAGTGTTTCCAAACTACTCTATGAAAAGAAAGCTTAAACTCCTTGAGTTGAACGCACACATCACAAAGTAGTTTCTGAGAATGATTCTGTCCAGTTTTTATACGAAGATGTTTCCTTTTCTACATTTGGTCTCAAAGCGATTGAAATCTCCAACTGGAAACTGCACAAATAGGGTGTTTCAAATCTGCTCTGTCTAAAGGAAGGTTCAACTCTGTGAGTTGAATACACACACCACAAATAAGTTACTGAGAATTCTTCTGTCGAACATTACATGAAGAAATCCCGTTTCCAACGAAGGCCTCAAAGAGGTCCAAATATCCACTTGCAGACATTACAAACAGAGTGTTTCCAAACTGCTCCATCAAAAGAAAGGTTAAACTCTGTGAGCTGAACACACACATCAAAAAGAAGTTTCTGTGAATGATTCTGTCTAGATTTTATAAGATGTTTCCTTTTCTACCGTAGGCCTCAAAGCGCTTGAAATCTCCAGCTGCAAATTCCACAAAAAGGGTGCTTAACATCTGCCCTTCTAAAGGAAAGTTCAACTCTATGAGTTGAATACACACAGCACAAAGAAGTTACTGAGACTTCTCCTATCAAACATTATATGAAGAAATCCCGTTTCCAACGAAGGCCTCAAAGAGGTCCAAATATCTGCTTGCAGACTTTACAGACAGAGTGTTTCCAAACTGCTCCATCAAAAGAAAGGTTAAACTGCTTGAGTTGAACACACACATCACAAAGTAGTTTCTGTGAATGATTCTGTCTAGTTGTTATACGAAGATGTTTCCTTTTCTACCTTTGGTCTCAAAGCGATTGAAATCTCCACATGGAAACTCCACAAAAAGAGTGTTTCAAATCTGCTCTTTCTGAAGGAAGGTTCATCTCTGTGAGTTGAATACACACACCACAAATAAGTTACTGAGAATTCTTCTGTGTAACATTATATGAGGAAATCCCGTTTCCAACGAAGGCCTCAAAGAGGTCCAAATATCCACTTGCAGACTTTACAAAGACAGTGTCTCCAAACTCCTCCATCAAAAGAAAGGTTATACTCTGTGAATTGAACGCACACATCACAAAGTAGTTTCTGAGAATGATTCTGTCTAGTTTTTATACGAAGATATTTCCTTTTCTACATTTGGCCTAAAAGCGCTTGAAATCTCCACCTGCAAATATCACAAAAAGAGGGTTTCACATCTGCTCTGTCTAAAGGACAGTTCACCTCTGTGAGTTGAATAGAGGCAACACAAAGAAGTTACTGAGTATTCTTCTTTCTAGCGTTATATGAAGAAATCCCGTTTCCAACGAAGGCCTCAAAGAGGTCCAAATATCTGCTTGCAGACTTTACAGACAGAGTGTTTCCAAACTACTCTATGAAAAGAAAGCTTAAACTCCGTGAGTTGAACGCACACATCACAAAGTAGTTTCTGAGAATGATTCTGTCTTGTTTTTATACGAAGATATTTCCGTTTCTACGATTGGCCTCAAAGCGATTGAAATCTCCAACTGGAAACTGCATAAATAGGGTGATTCAAATCTGCTCTGTCTAAAGGAAGGTTCAACTCTGTGAGTTGAATACACATACCACAAATAAGTTACTGAGAATTCTTCTGTGTAACATTATATGAGGAAATCCCGTTTCCAACGAAGGCCTCAAAGAGGTCCAAATATCCACCTGCAGACTTTACAAAGACAGTGTCTCCAAACTCCTCCATCAAAAGAAAGGTTATACTCTGTGAATTGAACGCACACATCACAAAGTAGTTTCTGAGAATGATTCTGTCTAGTTTTTATACGAAGATATTTCCTTTTCTACATTTGGCCTCAAAGCGCTTGAAATCTCCACCTGCAAATATCACAAAAAGAGGGTTTCACATCTGCTCTGTCTAAAGGGCAGTTAACCTCTGTGAGTTGAATAGAGGCAACACAAAGAACTTACTCAGTATTCTTCTTTCTAGCGTTCTATGAAGAAATCCCGTTTCCAACGAAGGCCCCAAAGAGGTCCAAATATCTGCTTGCAGACTTTACAGACAGAGTGTTTCCAAACTACTCTATGAAAAGAAAGCTTAAACTCCTTGAGTTGAACGCACACATCACAAAGTAGTTTCTGAGAATGATTCTGTCTAGTTTTTATACGAAGATGTTTCCTTTTCTACATTTGGTCTCAAAGCGATTGAAATCTCCAACTGGAAACTGCACAAATAGGGTGTTTCAAATCTGCTCTGTCTAAAGGAAGGTTCAACTCTGTGAGTTGAATACACACACCACAAATAAGTTACTGAGAATTCTTCTGTCGAACATTACTTGAAGAAATCCCGTTTCCAACGAAGGCCTCAAAGAGGTCCAAATATCCACTTGCAGACATTACAAACAGAGTGTTTCCAAACTGCTCCATCAAAAGAAAGGTTAAACTCTGTGAGCTGAACACACACATCAAAAAGAAGTTTCTGTGAATGATTCTGTCTAGATTTTATAAGAAGATGTTTCCTTTTCTACCGTAGGCCTCAAAGCGCTTGAAATCTCCAGCTGCAAATTCCACAAAAAGGGTGTTTAACATCTGCTCTTCTAAAGGAAAGTTCAACTCTATGAGTTGAATACACACAGCACAAAGAAGTTTCTGAGACTTCTCCTATCAAACATTATATGAAGAAATCCCGTTTCCAACGAAGGCCTCAAAGAGGTCCAAATATCTGCTTGCAGACTTTACAGACAGAGTGTTTCCAAACTGCTCCATCAAAAGAAAGGTTAAACTCCTTGAGTTGAACACACACATCACAAAGTAGTTTCTGTGAATGATTCTGTCTAGTTTTAATACGAAGATGTTTCCTTTTCTACCTTTGGTCTCAAAGCGATTGAAATCTCCACATGGAAACTCCACAAAAAGAGTGTTTCAAATCTGCTCTTTCTGAAGGAAGGTTCAACTCTGTGAGTTGAATACACACACCACAAATAAGTTACTGAGAATTCTCTGTGTAACATTATATGAGGAAATCCCGTTTCCAACGAAGGCCTCAAAGAGATCCAAATATCCACTTGCAGACTTTACAAAGACAGTGTCTCCAAACTCCTCCATCAAAAGAAAGGTTATACTCTGTGAATTGAACGCACACATCACAAAGTAGTTTCTGAGAATGATTCTGTCTAGTTTTTATACGAAGATATTTCCTTTTCTACATTTGGCCTAAAAGCGCTTGAAATCTCCTCCTGCAAATATCACAAAAAGAGGGTTTCACATCTGCTCTGTCTAAAGGACAGTTCACCTCTGTGAGTTGAATAGAGGCAACACAAAGAACTTACTCAGTATTCTTCTTTCTAGCGTTCTATGAAGAAATCCGGTTTCCAACGAAGACCCCAATGAGGTCCAAATATCTGCTTGCAGACTTTACAGACAGAGTGTTTCCAAACTACTCTATGAAAAGAAAGCTTAAACTCCTTGAGTTGAACGCACACATCACAAAGTAGTTTCTGAGAATGATTCTGTCTAGTTTTTATACGAAGATGTTTCCTTTTCTACATTTGGTCTCAAAGCGATTGAAATCTCCAACTGGAAACTGCACAAATAGGGTGTTTCAAATCTGCTCTGTCTAAAGGAAGGTTCAACTCTGTGAGTTGAATACACACACCACAAATAAGTTACTGAGAATTCTTCTGTCGAACATTACATGAAGAAATCCCGTTTCCAACGAAGGCCTCAAAGAGGTCCAAATATCCACTTGCAGACATTACAAACAGAGTGTTTCCAAACTGCTCCATCAAAAGAAAGGTTAAACTCTGTGAGCTGAACACACACATCAAAAAGAAGTTTCTGTGAATGATTCTGTCTAGATTTTATAAGAAGATGTTTCCTTTTCTACCGTAGGCCTCAAAGCGCTTGAAATCTCCAGCTGCAAATTCCACAAAAAGGGTGTTTAACATCTGCTCTTCTAAAGGAAAGTTCAACTCTATGAGTTGAATACACACAGCACAAAGAAGTTACTGAGACTTCTCCTATCAAACATTATATGAAGAAATCCCGTTTCCAACGAAGGCCTCAAAGAGGTCCAAATATCTGCTTGCAGACTTTACAGACAGAGTGTTTCCAAACTGCTCCATCAAAAGAAAGGTTAAACTCCTTGAGTTGAACACACACATCACAAAGTAGTTTCTGTGAATGATTCTGTCTAGTTTTTATACGAAGATGTATCCTTTTCTACCTTTGGTCTCAAAGCGATTGAAATCTCCACATGGAAACTCCACAAAAAGAGTGTTTCAAATCTGCTCTTTCTGAAGGAAGCTTCAACTCTGTGAGTTGAATACACACACCACAAATCAGTTACTGAGAATTCTTCTGTGTAACATTATATGAGGAAATCCCGTTTCCAACGAAGGCCTCAAAGAGGGCCAAATATCCACTTGCAGACTTTTCAAAGACAGTGTCTCCAAACTCCTCCATCAAAAGAAAGGTTATACTCTGTGAATTGAATGCACACATCACAAAGTAGTTTCTGAGAATGATTCTGTCTAGTTTTTATACGAAGATATTTCCTTTTCTACATTTGGCCTAAAAGCGCTTGAAATCTCCACCTGCAAATATCACAAAAAGAGGGTTTCACATCTGCTCTGCCTAAAGGACAGTTCACCTCTGTGAGTTGAATAGAGGCAACACAAAGAACTTACTCAGTATTCTTCTTTCTAGCGTTCTATGAAGAATTCCCGTTTCCAACGAAGGCCTCAATGAGGTCCAAATATCTGCTTGCAGACATTACAGACACAGTGTTTCCAAACTACTCTATGAAAACAAAGCTTAAACTCCTTGAGTTGAACGCACACATCACAAAGTAGTTTCTGAGAATGATTCTGTCTAGTTTTTATAAGAAGATGTTTCCTTTCCTACATTTGGTCTCAAAGCGATTGAAATCTCCAACTGGAAACTGCGCAATTAGGGTGTTTCAAATCTGCTCTGTCTAAAGGAAGGTTCAACTCTGTGAGTTGAATACACAAACCACAAATAAGTTACTGAGAATTCTTCTGTCGAACATTACATGAAGAAATCCCGTTTCCAACGAAGGCCTCAAAGAGGTCCAAATATCCACTTGCAGACATTACAGAGTGTTTCCAAACTGCTCCATCAAAAGAAAGGTTAAACTCTGTGAGCTGAACACACACATCGAAAAGAAGTTTCTGTGAATGATTCTGTCTAGATTTTATAAGAAGATGTTTCCTTTTCTACCGTAGGCCTCAAAGCGCTTGAAATCTCCACCTGCAAATATCACAAAAAGAGGGTTTCACATCTGCTCTGTCTAAAGGACAGTTCACCTCTGTGAGTTGAATAGAGGCAACACAAAAAACTTACTCAGTATTCTTCTTTCTAGCGTTCTATGAAGAAATCCCGTTTCCAACGAAGGCCCCAAAGAGGTCCAAATATCCACTTGCAGACATTACAGAGTGTTTCCAAACTGCTCCATCAAAAGAAAGGTTAAACTCTGTGAGCTGAACACACACATCGAAAAGAAGTTTCTGTGAATGATTCTGTCTAGATTTTATAAGAAGATGTTTCCTTTTCTACCGTAGGCCTCAAAGCGCTTGAAATCTCCAGCTGCAAATTCCACAAAAAGGGTGTTTAACATCTGCTCTTCTAAAGGAAAGTTCAACTCTATGAGTTGAATACACACAGCACAAAGAAGTTACTGAGACTTCTCCTATCAAACATTATATGAAGAAATCCCGTTTCCAACGAAGGCCTCAAAGAGGTCCAAATATCTGCTTGCAGACTTTACAGACAGAGTGTTTCCAAACTGCTCCATCAAAAGAAAGGTTAAACTCCTTGAGTTGAACACACACATCACAAAGTAGTTTCTGTGAATGATTCTGTCTAGTTTTTATACGAAGATGTTTCCTTTTCTACCTTTGGTCTCAAAGCGATTGAAATCTCCACATGGAAACTCCACAAAAAGAGTGTTTCAAATCTGCTCTTTCTGAAGGAAGGTTCAACTCTGTGAGTTGAATACACACACCACAAATAAGTTACTGAGAATTCTTCTGTGTAACATTATATGAGGAAATCCCGTTTCCAACGAAGGCCTCAAAGAGGTCCAAATATCCACTTGCAGACTTTACAAAGACAGTGTCTCCAAACTCGTCCATCAAAAGAAAGGTTATACTCTGTGAATTGAACGCACACATCACAAAGTAGTTTCTGAGAATGATTCTGTCTAGTTTTTATACGAAGATATTTTTTTTTCTACATTTGGCCTAAAAGCGCTTGAAATCTCCACCTGCAAATATCACAAAAAGAGGGTTTCACATCTGCTCTTTCTAAAGGACAGTTCACCTCTGTGAGTTGAATAGAGGCAACACAAAGAACTTACTCAGTATTCTTCTGTTCTTAAGCATTTATATGAAGAAATCCCGTTTCCAACGAAAGCCTCAAAGAGGTCCAAATATCTGCTTGCAGACTTTACAGACAGAGTGTTTCCAAACTACTCTATGAAAAGAAAGCTTAAACTCCGTGAGTTGAACGCACACATCACAAAGTAGTTTCTGACAATGATTCTGTCTTGTTTTTATACGAAGATATTTCCGTTTCTATGATTGGCCTCAAAGCGATTGAAATCTCCAACTGGAAACTGCACAAATAGGGTGTTTCAAATCTGCTCTGTCTAAAGGAAGGTTCAACTCTGTGAGTTGAATACACACACCACAAATAAGTTACTGAGAATTCTTCTGTCGAACATTACATGAAGAAATCCCGTTTCCAACGAAGGCCTCAAAGAGGTCCAAATATCCACTTGCAGACATTACAAACAGAGTGTTTCCAAACTGCTCCATCAAAAGAAAGGTTAAACTCTGTGAGCTGAACACACACATCAAAAAGAAGCTTCTGTGAATGATTCTGTCTAGATTTTATAAGAAGATGTTTCCTTTTCTACCGTAGGCCTCAAAGCGCTTGAAATCTCCAGCTGCAAATTCCACAAAAAGGGTGTTTAACATCTGCTCTTCTAAAGGAAAGTTCAACTCTATGAGTTGAATACACACAGCACAAAGAAGTTACTGAGACTTCTCCTATCAAACATTATATGAAGAAATCCCGTTTCCAAAGAAGGCCTCAAAGAGGTCCAAATATCTGCTTGCAGACTTTACAGACAGAGTTTTTCCAAACTGCTCCATGAATAGAAAGGTTAAACTCCTTGAGTTGAACACACACATCACAAAGTAGTTTCTGTGAATGATTCTGTCTAGTTTTTATACGAAGATGTTTCCTTTTCTACCTTTGGTCTCAAAGCGATTGAAATCTCCACATGGAAACTCCACAAAAAGAGTGTTTCAAATCTGCTCTTTCTGAAGGAAGGTTCAACTCTGTGAGTTGAATACACACACCACAAATAAGTTACTGAGAATTCTTCTGTGTAACATTATAGGAGGAAATCCCGTTTCCAACGAAGGCCTCAAAGAGGTCCAAATATCCACTTGCAGACTTTACAAAGACAGTGTCTCCAAACTCCTCCATCAAAAGAAAGGTTATCCTCTGTGAATTGAACGCACACATCACAAAGTAGTTTCTGAGAATGATTCTGTCTAGTTTTTATACGAAGATATTTCCTTTTCTACATTTGGCCTAAAAGCGCTTGAAATCTCCACCTGCAAATATCACAAAAAGAGGGTTTCACATCTGCTCTGTCTAAAGGACAGTTCACCTCTGTGAGTTGAATAGAGGCAACACAAAGAACTTACTCAGTATTCTTCTTTCTAGCGTTCTATGAAGAAATCCCGTTTCCAACGAAGGCCTCAAAGAGGTCAAATATCTGCTTGCAGACTTTACAGACAGAGTGTTTCCAAACTACTCTATGAAAAGAAAGCTTAAACTCCTTCAGTTGAACGCACACATCACAAAGTAGTTTCTGAGAATGATGCTGTCTAGTTTTTATACGAAGATGTTTCCTTTTCTACATTTGGTCTCAAAGCGATTGAAATCTCCAACTGGAAACTGCACAAATAGGGTGTTTCAAATCTGCTCTGTCTAAAGGAAGATTCAACTCAGGGAGTTGAATACACACACCACAAATAAGTTACTGAGAATTCTTCTGTCGAACATTACTTGAAGAAATCCCGTTTCCAACGAAGGCCTCAAAGAGGTCCAAATATCCACTTGTAGACATTACAAACAGAGTGTTTCCAAACTGCTCCATCAAAAGAAAGGTTATACTCTGTGAGCTGAACACACACATCAAAAAGAAGTTTCTGTGAATGATTCTGTCTAGATTTTATAAGAAGATGTTTCCTTTTCTACCGTAGGCCTCAAAGCGCTTGAAATCTCCAGCTGCAAATTCCACAAAAAGGGTGTTTAACATCTGCTCTTCTAAAGGAAAGTTCAACTCTATGAGTTGAATACACACAGCACAAAGAAGTTACTGAGACTTCTGCTATCAAACATTATATGAAGAAATCCCGTTTCCAACGAAGGCCTCAAAGAGGTCCAAATATCTGCTTGCAGACTTTACAGACAGAGTGTTTCCAAACTGCTCCATCAAAAGAAAGGTTAAACTCCTTGAGTTGAACACACACATCACAAAGTAGTTTCTGTGAATGATTCTGTCTAGTTTTTATAAGAAGATGTTTCCTTTTCTACCTTTGGTCTCAAAGCGATTGAAATCTCCACATGGAAACTCCTCAAAAAGAGTGTTTCAAATCTGCTCTTTCTGAAGGAAGGTTCAACTCTGTGAGTTGAATACACACACCACAAATAAGTTACTGAGAATTCTTCTGTGTAACATTATATGAGGAAATCCCGTTTCCAACGAAGGCCTCAAAGAGGTCCAAATATCCACTTGCAGACTTTACAAAGACAGTGTCTCCAAACTCCTCCATCAAAAGAAAGGTTATACTCTGTGAATTGAACGCACACATCACAAAGTAGTTTCTGAGAATGATTCTGTCTGTTTTTTATACGAAGATATTTCCTTTTCTACATTTGGCCTAAAAGCGCTTGAAATCTCCACCTGCAAATATCACAAAAAGAGGGTTTCACATCTGCTCTGTCTAAAGGACAGTTCACCTCTGTGAGTTGAATAGAGGCAACACAAAGAACTTACTCAGTATTCTTCTTTCTAGCGTTCTATGAAGAAATCCCGTTTCCAACGAAGGCCTCAAAGAGGTCAAATATCTGCTTGCAGACTTTACAGACAGAGTGTTTCCAAACTACTCTATGAAAAGAAAGCTTAAACTCCTTGAGTTGAACGCACACATCACAAAGTAGTTTCTGAGAATGATTCTGTCTAGTTTTTATACGAAGATGTTTCCTTTTCTACATTTGGTCTCAAAGCGATTGAAATCTCCAACTGGAAACTGCACAAATAGGGTGTTTCAAATCTGCTCTGTCTAAAGGAAGGTTCAACTCTGTGAGTTGAATACACACACCACAAATAAGTTACTGAGAATTCTTCTGTCGAACATTACTTGAAGAAATCCCGTTTCCAACGAAGGCCTCAAAGAGGTCCAAATATCCACTTGCAGACATTACAAACAGAGTGTTTCCAAACTGCTCCATCAAAAGAAAGGTTAAACTCTGTGAGCTGAACACACACATCAAAAAGAAGTTTCTGTGAATGATTCTGTCTAGATTTTATAAGAAGATGTTTCCTTTTCTACCGTAGGCCTCAAAGCGCTTGAAATCTCCAGCTGCAAATTCCACAAAAAGGGTGTTTAACATCTGCTCTTCTAAAGGAAAGTTCAACTCTATGAGGTGAATACACACAGCACAAAGAAGTTACTGAGACTTCTCCTATCAAACATTATATGAAGAAATCCCGTTTCCAACGAAGGCCTGAAAGAGGTCCAAATATCTGCTTGCAGACTTTACAGACAGAGTGTTTCCAAACTGCTCCATCAAAAGAAAGGTTAAACTCCTTTAGTTGAACACACACATCACAAAGTAGTTTCTGTGAATGATTCTGTCTAGTTTTTATACGAAGATGTTTCCTTTTCTACCTTTGGTCTCAAAGCGATTGAAATCTCCACATGGAAACTCCACAAAAAGAGTGTTTCAAATCTGCTCTTTCTGAAGGAAGGTTCAACTCTGTGAGTTGAATACACACACCACAAATCAGTTACTGAGAATTCTTCTGTGTAACATTATATGAGGAAATCCCGTTTCCAACGATGGCCCCAAAGAGGTCCAAATATCCAATTGCAGTCTTTACAAAGACAGTGTCTCCAAACTCCTCCATCAAAAGAAAGGTTATACTCTGTGAATTGAATGCACACATCACAAAGTAGTTTCTGAGAATGATTCTGTCTAGTTTTTATACGAAGATATTTCCTTTTCTACATTTGGCCTAAAAGCGCTTGAAATCTCCACCTGCAAATATCACAAAAAGAGGGTTTCACATCTGCTCTGTCTAAAGGACAGTTCACCTCTGTGAGTTGAATAGAGGCAACACAAAGAACTTACTCAGTATTCTTCTTTCTAGCGTTCTATGAAGAAATCACATTTCCAACGAAGGCCCCAAAGAGGTCCAAATATCTGCTTGCAGACTTTACAGACAGAGTGTTTCCAAACTACTCTATGAAAAGAAAGCTTAAACTCCTTGAGTTGAACGCACACATCACAAAGTAGTTTCTGAGAATGATTCTGTCTAGTTTTAATACGAAGATGTTTCCTTTTCTACATTTGGTCTCAAAGCGATTGAAATCTCCAACTGGAAACTGCACAAATAGGGTGTTTCAAATCTGCTCTGTCTAAAGGAAGGTTCAACTCTGTGAGTTGAATACACACACCACAAATAAGTTACTGAGAATTCTTCTGTCGAACATTACATGAAGAAATCCCGTTTCCAACGAACGCCTCAAAGAGGTCCAAATATCCACTTGCATACACTACAAACAGTGTGTTTCCAAACTGCTCCCTCAAAACAAAGGTTAAACTCTGTGAGCTGAACACACACATCAAAAAGAAGTTTCTGTGAATGATTCTGTCTAGATTTTATAAGAAGATGTTTCCTTTTCTACCGTAGGCCTCAAAGCGCTTGAAATCTCCAGCTGCAAATTCCACAAAAAGGGTGTTTAACATCTGCTCTTCTAAAGGAAAGTTCAACTCTATGAGTTGAATACACACAGCACAAAGAAGTTACTGAGACTTCTCCTATCAAACATTATATGAAGAAATCCCGTTTCCAACGAAGGCCTCAAAGAGGTCCAAATATCTGCTTGCAGACTTTACAGACAGAGTGTTTCCAAACTGCTCCATCAAAAGAAAGGTTAAACTCCTTGAGTTGAACACACACATCACAAAGTAGTTTCTGTGAATGATTATCTGTCTAGTTTTTATACGAAGATGTTTCCTTTTCTACCTTTGGTCTCAAAGCGATTGAAATCTCCACATGGAAACTCCACAAAAAGAGTGTTTCAAATCTGCTCTTTCTGAAGGAAGGTTCAACTCTGTGAGTTGAATACACACACCACAAATAAGTTACTGAGAATTCTTCTGTGTAACATTATATGAGGAAATCCCGTTACCAACGAAGGCCTCAAAGAGGTCCAAATATCGACTTGCAGACTTTACAAAGACAGTGTCTCCAAACTCCTCCATCAAAAGAAAGGTTATACTCTGTGAATTGAACGCACACATCACAAAGTAGTTTCTGAGAATGATTCTGTCTAGTTTTTATACGAAGATATTTCCTTTTCTACATTTGGCCTAAAAGCGCTTGAAATCTCCACCTGCAAATATCACAAAAAGAGGGTTTCACATCTGCTCTGTCTAAAGGACAGTTCACCTCTGTGAGTTGAGTAGAGGCAACACAAAGAACTTACTCAGTATTCTTCTTTCTAGCGTTCTATGAAGAAATCCCGTTTCCAACGAAGGCCTCAAAGAGGTCCAAATATCTGCTTGCAGACATTACAGACAGAGTGTTTCCAAACTACTCTATGAAAAGAAAGCTTAAACTCCTTGAGTTGAACGCACACATCACAAAGTAGTTTCTGAGAATGATTCTGTCTAGTTTTTATACAAAGATGTTTCCTTTTCTACATTTGGTCTCAAAGCGATTGAAATCTCCAACTGGAAACTGCACAAACAGGGTGTTTCAAATCTGCTCTGTCTAAAGGAAGGTTCAACTCTGTGAGTTGAATACACACACCACAAAGAAGTTACTGAGAATTCTTCTGTCGAACATTACAGGAAGAAATCCCGTTTCCAACGAAGGCCTCAAAGAGGTCCAAATATCCACTTGCAGACATTACAAACAGTGTGTTTCCCAAGTGCTCCATCAAAAGAAAGGTTAAACTCTGTGAGCTGAACACACACATCAAAAAGAAGTTTCTGTGAATGATTCTGTCTAGATTTTATAAGAAGATGTTTCCTTTTCTACAGTAGGCCTCAAAGCGCTTGAAATCTCCAGCTGCAAATTCCACAAAAAGGGTGTTTAACATCTGCTCTTTTAAAGGAAAGTTCAACTCTATGAGTTGAATACACACAGCACAAAGAAGTTACTGAGACTTCTCCTATCAAACATTATATGAAGAAATCCCGTTTCCAACGAAGGCCTCAAAGAGGTCCAAATATCTGCTTGCAGACTTTACAGACAGAGGGTTTCCAAACTGCTCCATCAAAAGAAAGGTTAACCTCCTTGAGTTGAACACACACATCACAAAGTAGTTTCTGTGAATGATTCTGTCTAGTTTTTATACGGAGATGTTTCCTTTTCTACCTTTGGTCTCAAAGCGATTGAAATCTCCACATGGAAACTCCACAAAAAGAGTGTTTCAAATCTGCTCTTTCTGAAGGAAGGTTCAACTCTGTGAGTTGAATACACACACCACAAATAAGTTACTGAGAATTCTTCTGTGTAACATTATATGAGGAAATCCCGTTTCCAACGAAGGCCTCAAAGAGGTCCAAATATCCACTTGCAGACTTTACAAAGACAGTGTCTCCAAACTCCTCCATCAAAAGAAAGGTTATACTCTGTGAATTGAACGCACACATCACAAAGTAGTTTCTGAGAATGATTCTGTCTAGTTTTTATACGAAGATATTTCCTTTTCTACATTTGGCCTAAAAGCGCTTGAAATCTCCACCTGCAAATATCACAAAAAGAGGGTTTCACATCTGCTCTGTCTAAAGGACAGTTCACCTCTGTGAGTTGAATAGAGGCAACACAAAGAACGTACTCAGTATTCTTCTTTCTAGCGTTCTATGAAGAAATCCCGTTTCCAACGAAGGCCCTAAAGAGGTCCAAATATCTGCTTGCAGACTTTACAGACAGAGTGTTTCCAAACTACTCTATGAAAAGAAAGCTTAAACTCCTTGAGTTGAACGCACACATCACAAAGTAGTTTCTGAGAATGATTCTGTCTTGTTTTTATACGAAGATATTTCCGTTTCTATGATTGGCCTCCAAGCGATTGAAATCTCCAACTGGAAACTGCACAAATAGGGTGTTTCAAATCTGCTCTGTCTAAAGGAAGGTTCAACTCTGTGAGTTGAATACACACACCACAAATAAGTTACTGAGAATTCTTCTGTCGAACATTACATGAAGAAATCCCGTTTCCAACGAAGGCCTCAAAGACGTCCAAATATCCACTTGCAGACATTACAAAGAGAGTGTTTCCAAACTGCTCCATCAAAAGAAAGGTTAAACTCTGTGAGCTGAACACACACATCAAAAAGAAGTTTCTGTGAATGATTCTGTCTAGATTTTATAAGAAGATGTTTCCTTTTCTACTGTAGGCCTCAAAGTGCTTGAAATCTCCAGCTGCAAATTCCACAAAAAGGGTGTTTAACATCTGCTCTTCTAAAGGAAAGTTCAACTCAATGAGTTGAATACACACAGCCCAAAGAAGTTACTGAGACTTCTCCTATCAAACATTATATGAAGAAATCCCGTTTCCAACGAAGGCCTCAAAGAGGTCCAAATATCTGCTTGCAGACTTTACAGACAGAGTGTTTCCAAACTGCTCCATCAAAAGAAAGGTTAAACTCCTTGAGTTGAACACACACATCACAAAGTAGTTTCTGTGAATGATTCTGTCTAGTTTTTATACGAAGATGTTTCCTTTTCTACCTTTGGTCTCAAAGCGATTGAAATCTCCACATGGAAACTCCACCAAAAGAGTGTTTCAAATCTGCTCTTTCTGAAGGAAGGTTCAACTCTGTGAGTTGAATACACACACCACAAATAAGTTACTGAGAATTCTTCTGTGTAACATTATATGAGGAAATCCCGTTTCCAACGAAGGCCTCAAAGAGGTCCAAATATCCACTTGCAGACTTTACAAAGACAGTGTCTCCAAACTCCTCCATCAAAAGAAAGGTTATACTCTGTGAATTGAACGCACACATCACAAAGTAGTTTCTGAGAATGATTCTGTCTAGTTTTTATACGAAGATATTTCCTTTTCTACATTTGGCCTAAAAGCGCTTGAAATCTCCACGTGCAAATATCACAAAAAGAGGGTTTCACATCTGCTCTGTCTAAAGGACAGTTCACCTCTGTGAGTTGAATAGAGGCAACACAAAGAACTTACTCAGTATTCTTCTTTCTAGCGTTCTATGAAGAAATCCCGTTTCCAACGAAGGCCCCAAAGAGGTCCAAATATCTGCTTGCAGACTTTACAGACAGAGTGTTTCCAAACTACTCTATGAAAAGAAAGCTTAAACTCCTTGAGTTGAACGCACACATCACAAAGTAGTTTCTGAGAATGATTCTGTCTAGTTTTTATACGAAGATGTTTCCTTTTCTACATTTGGTCTCAAAGCGATTGAAATCTCCAACTGGAAACTGCACAAATAGGCTGTTTCAAATCTGCTCTGTCTAAAGGAAGGTTCAGCTCTGTGAGTTGAATACACACACCACAAATAAGTTACTGAGAATTCTTCTGTCGAACATTACATGAAGAAATCCCGTTTCCAACGAAGGCCTCAAAGAGGTCCAAATATCCACTTGCAGACATTACAAACAGAGTGTTTCCAAACTGCTCCATCAAAAGAAAGGTTAAACTCTGTGAGCTGAACACACACATCAAAAAGAAGTTTCTGTGAATGATTCTGTCTAGATTTTATAAGAAGATGTTTCCTTTTCTACCGTAGGCCTCAAAGCGCTTGAAATCTCCAGCTGCAAATTCCACAAAAAGGGTGTTTAACATCTGCTCTTCTAAAGGAAAGTTCAACTCTATGAGTTGAATACACACAGCACAAAGAAGTTACTGAGACTTCTCCTATCAAACATTATATGAAGAAATCCCGTTTCCAACGAAGGCCTCAAAGAGGTCCAAATATCTGCTTGCAGACTTTACAGACAGAGTGTTTCCAAACTGCTCCATCAAAAGAAAGGTTAAACTCCTTGAGTTGAACACACACATCACAAAGTAGTTTCTGTGAATGATTCTGTCTAGTTTTTATACGAAGATGTTTCCTTTTCTACCTTTGGTCTCAAAGCGATTGAAATCTCCACATGGAAACTCCACAAAAAGAGTGTTTCAAATCTGCTCTTTCTGAAGGAAGGTTCATCTCTGTGAGTTGAATACACACACCACAAATAAGTTACTGAGAATTCTTCTGTGTAACATTATATGAGGAAATCCCGTTTCCAACGAAGGCCTCAAAGAGGTCCAAATATCCACTTGCAGACTTTACAAAGACAGTGTCTCCAAACTCCTCCATCAAAAGAAAGGTTATACTCTGTGAATTGAACGCACACATCACAAAGTAGTTTCTGAGAATGATTCTGTCTAGTTTTTATACGAAGATATTTCCTTTTCTACATTTGGCCTAAAAGCGCTTGAAATCTCCACGTGCAAATATCACAAAAAGAGGGTTTCACATCTGCTCTGTCTAAAGGACAGTTCACCTCTGTGAGTTGAATAGAGGCAACACAAAGAACTTACTCAGTATTCTTCTTTCTAGCGTTCTATGAAGAAATCCCGTTTCCAACGAAGGCCCCAAAGAGGTCCAAATATCTGCTTGCAGACTTTACAGACAGAGTGTTTCCAAACTACTCTATGAAAAGAAAGCTTAAACTCCTTCAGTTGAACGCACACATCACAAAGTAGTTTCTGAGAATGATTCTGTCTAGTTTTTATACGAAGATGTTTCCTTTTCTACATTTGGTCTCAAAGCGATTGAAATCTCCAACTGGAAACTGCACAAATAGGGTGTTTCAAATCTGCTCTGTCTAAAGGGAAGGTTCAACTCTGTGAGTTGAATACACACACCACAAATAAGTTACTGAGAATTCTTCTGTCGAACATTACAGGAAGAAATCCCGTTTCCAACGAAGGCCTCAAAGAGGTCCAAATATCCACTTGCAGACATTTCAAACAGTGTGTTTCCAAACTGCTCCATCAAAAGAAAGGTTAAACTCGGTGAGCTGAACACACACATCAAAAAGAAGTTTCTGTGAATGATTCTGTCTAGATTTTATAAGAAGATGTTTCCTTTTCTACCGTAGGCCTCAAAGCGCTTGAAATCTCCAGCTGCAAATTCCACAAAAAGGGTGTTTAACATCTGCTCTTCTAAAGGAAAGTTCAACTCTATGAGTTGAATACACACAGCACAAAGAAGTTACTGAGACTTCTCCTATCAAACATTATATGAAGAAATCCCGTTTCCAACGATGGCCTCAAAGAGGTCCAAATATCTGCTTGCAGACTTTACAGACAGAGTTTTTCCAAACTGCTCCATCAAAAGAAAGGTTAAACTCCTTGAGTTGAACACACACATCACAAAGTAGTTTCTGTGAATGATTCTGTCTAGTTGTTATACGAAGATGTTTCCTTTTCTACCTTTGGTCTCAAAGCGATTGAAATCTCCACATGGAAACTCCACAAAAAGAGTGTTTCAAATCTGCTCTTTCTGAAGGAAGGTTCATCTCTGTGAGTTGAATACACACACCACAAATAAGTTACTGAGAATTCTTCTGTGTAACATTATATGAGGAAATCCCGTTTCCAACGAAGGCCTCAAAGAGGTCCAAATATCCACTTGCAGACTTTACAAAGACAGTGTCTCCAAACTCCTCCATCAAAAGAAAGGTTATACTCTGTGAATTGAACGCACACATCACAAAGTAGTTTCTGAGAATGATTCTGTCTAGTTTTTATACGAAGATATTTCCTTTTCTACATTTGGCCTAAAAGCGCTTGAAATCTCCACCTGCAAATATCACAAAAAGAGCGTTTCACATCTGCTCTGTCTAAAGGACAGTTCACCTCTGTGAGTTGAATAGAGGCAACACAAAGAACTTACTCAGTATTCTTCTTTCTAGCATTCTATGAAGAAATCCCGTTTCCAACGAAGGCCTCAAAGAGGTCCAAATATCTGCTTGCAGACTTCACAGACAAAGTGTTTCCAAACTACTCTATGAAAAGAAAGCTTAAACTCCTTGAGTTGAACGCATACATCACAAAGTAGTTTCTGAGAATGATTCTGTCTAGTTTTTATACGAAGATGTTTCCTTTTCTACATTTGGTCTCAAAGCGATTGAAATCTCTAACTGGAAACTGCACAAATAGGGTGTTTCAAATCTGCTCTTTCTGAAGGAAGGTTCAACTCTGTCAGTTGAATACACACACCACAAATAAGTTACTGAGAATTCTTCTGTCGAACATTACATGAAGAAATCCCGTTTCCAACGAAGGCCTCAAACAGGTCCAAATATCCACTTGCAGACATTACAAACAGAGTGTTTCCAAACTGCTCCATCAAAAGAAACGTTAAACTCTGTAAGCTGAACACACACATAAAAAGAAGTTTCTGTGAATGATTCTGTCTAGGCTTTAGAAGAAGATGTTTCCTTTTCTACCGTAGGCCTCAAAGCGCTTGAAATCTCCAGCTGCAAATTCCACAAAAAGGGTGTTTAACATCTGCTCTTCTAAAGGAAAGTTCTACTCCATGAGTTGAATACACACAGCACAAAGAAGTTACTGAGACTTCTCCTATCAAAGATTATATGAAGAAATCCCGTTTGCAACGAAGGCCTCAAAGAGGTCCAAATATCTGCTTGCAGACTTTACAGACAGAGTGTTTCCAAACTGCTCCATCAAAAGAAAGGTTAAACTCCTTGAGTTGAACACACACATCACAAAGTAGTTTCTGTGAATGATTCTGTCTAGTTTTTATACGAAGATGTTTCCTTTTCTACCTTTGGTCTCAAAGCCATTGAAATCTCCACATGGAAACTCCACAAAAAGAGTGTTTCAAATCTGCTCTTTCTGAAAGAAGGTACAACTCTGTGAGTTGAATACACACACCACAAATAAGTTACTGAGAATTCTTCTGTGTAACATTATATGAGGAAATCCCGTTTCCAACGAAGGCCTCAAAGAGGTCCAAATATCCACTTGCAGACTTTACAAAGACAGTGTCTCCAAACTCCTCCATCAAAAGAAAGGTTATACTCTGTGAATTGAACGCACACATCACAAAGTAGTTTCTGAGAATGATTCTGTCTAGTTTTTATACGAAGATATTTCCTTTTCTACATTTGGCCTAAAAGCGCTTGAAATCTCCACCTGCAAATATCACAAAAAGAGGGTTTCACATCTGCTCTGTCTAAAGGACAGTTCACCTCTGTGAGTTGAATAGAGGCAACACAAAGAACTTACTCAGTATTCTTCTTTCTGGCGTTCTATGAAGAAATCCCGTTTCCAACGAAGGCCCAAAGAGGTCCAAATATCTGCCTGCAGACTTTACAGACAGAATGTTTCCAAAGTACTCTATGAAAAGAAAGCTTAAACTCCTTGAGTTGAACGCACACATCACAAAGTAGTTACTGAGAATGATTCTGTCTAGTTTTTATACGAAGATGTTTCCTTTTCTACATTTGGTCTCAAAGCGATTGAAATCTCCAACTGGAAACTGCACAAATAGGGTGTTTCAAATCTGCTCTGTCTAAAGGAAGGTTCAACTCTGTGAGTTGAATACACACACCACAAATAAGTTACTGAGAATTCTTCTGTCGAACATTACAGGAAGAAATCCCGTTTCCAACGAAGGCCTCAAAGAGCTCCAAATATCCACTTGCAGACATTACAAACAGTGTGTTTCCCAACTGCTCCATCAAAAGAAAGGTTAAACTCTGTGAGCTGAACACACACATCAAAAAGAAGTTTCTGTGAATGATTCTGTCTAGATTTTATAAGAAGATGTTTCCTTTTCTACCATAGGCCTCAAAGCGCTTGAAATCTCCAGCTGCAAATTCCACAAAAAGGGTGTTTAACATCTGCTCTTTTAAAGGAAAGTTCAACTCTATGAGTTGAATACACACAGCAGAAAGAAGTTACCGAGATTTCTCCTATCAAACATTATATGAAGAAATCCCGTTTCCAACGAAGGCCTCAAAGAGGTCCAAATATCTGCTTGCAGACTTTACAGACAGAGTGTTTCCAAACTGCTCCATCAAAAGAAAGGTTAAACTCCTTGAGTTGAACACACACATCACAAAGTAGTTTCTGTGAATGATTCTGTCTAGTTTTTATACGAAGATGTTTCCTTTTCTACCTTTGGTCTCAAAGCGATTGAAATCTCCACATGGAAACTCCACAAAAAGAGTGTTTCAAATCTGCTCTGTCTAAAGGAAGGTTCAACTCTGTGAGTTGTATACACACACCACAAATAAGTTACTGAGAATTCTTCTGTGTAACATTATATGAGGAAATCCCGTTTCCAACGAAGGCCTCAAAGAGGTCCAAATATCCACTTGCAGACTTTACAAAGACAGTGTCTCCAAACTCCTCCATCAAAAGAAAGGTTATACTCTGTGAATTGAACGCACACATCACAAAGTAGTTTCTGAGAATGATTCTGTCTAGTTTTTATACGAAGATATTTCCTTTTCTACATTTGGCCTAAAAGCGCTTGAAATCTCCACCTGCAAATATCACAAAAAGAGGGTTTCACATCTGCTCTGTCTAAAGGACAGTTCACCTCTGTGAGTTGAATAGAGGCAACACAAAGAACTTACTCAGTATTCTTCTTTCTAGCGTTCTATGAAGAAATCCCGTTTCCAACGAAGACCCCAATGAGGTCCAAATATCTGCTTGCAGACTTTACAGACAGAGTGTTTCCAAAGTACTCTATGAAAAGAAAGCTTAAACTCCTTGAGTTGAACGCACACATCACAAAGTAGTTACTGAGAATGATTCTGTCTAGTTTTTATACGAAGATGTTTCCTTTTCTACATTTGGTCTCAAAGCGATTGAAATCTCCAACTGGAAACTGCACAAATAGGGTGTTTCAAATCTGCTCTGTCTAAAGGAAGGTTCAACTCTGTGAGTTGAATACACACACCACAAATAAGTTACTGAGAATTCTTCTGTCGAACATTACTTGAAGAAATCCCGTTTCCAACGAAGGCCTCAAAGAGGTCCAAATATCCACTTGCAGACATTACAAACAGAGTGTTTCCAAACTGCTCCATCAAAAGAAAGGTTAAACTCTGTGAGCTGAACACACACATCAAAAAGAAGTTTCTGTGAATGATTCTGTCTAGATTTTATAAGAAGATGTTTCCTTTTCTACCGTAGGCCTCAAAGCGCTTGAAATCTCCAGCTGCAAATTCCACAAAAAGGGTGTTTAACATCTGCTCTTCTAAAGGAAAGTTCAACTCTATGAGTTGAATACACACAGCACAAAGAAGTTACTGAGACTTCTCCTATCAAACATTATATGAAGAAATCCCGTTTCCAACGAAGGCCTCAAAGAGGTCCAAATATCTGCTTGCAGACTTTACAGAGAGAGTGTTTCCAAACTGCTCCATCAAAAGAAAGGTTAAACTCCTTGAGTTGAACACACACATCACAAAGTAGTTTCTGTGAATGATTCTGTCTAGTTTTTATACGAAGATGTTTCCTTTTCTACCTTTAGTCTCAAAGCGATTGAAATCTCCACATGGAAACTCCACAAAAAGAGTGTTTCAAATCTGCTCTTTCTGAAGGAAGGTTCAACTCTGTGAGTTGAATACACACACCACAAATAAGTTACTGAGAATTCTTCTGTGTAACATTATATGAGGAAATCCCGTTTCCAACGAAGGCCTCAAAGAGGTCCAAATATCCACTTGCAGACTTTACAAAGACAGTGTCTCCAAACTCCTCCATCAAAAGAAAGGTTATACTCTGTGAATTGAACGCACACATCACAAAGTAGTTTCTGAGAATGATTCTGTCTAGTTTTTATACGAAGATATTTCCTTTTCTACATTTGGCCTAAAAGCGCTTGAAATCTCCACCTGGAAATATCACAAAAAGAGGGTTTCACATCTGCTCTGTCTAAAGGACAGTTCACCTCTGTGAGTTGAATAGAGGCAACACAAAGAACTTACTCAGTATTCTTCTTTCTAGCGTTCTATGAAGAAATCCCGTTTCCAACGAAGGCCCCAAAGAGGTCCAAATATCTGCTTGCAGACTTTACAGACAGAGTGTTTCCAAACTACTCTATGAAAAGAAAGGTTAAACTCCTTGAGTTGAACGCACACATCACAAAGTAGATTCTGAGAATGATTTCTGTCTTGTTTTTATACGAAGATGTTTCCCTTTTCTACATTTGGCCTCAAAGCCATTGAAATCTCCACCTGGAAACTGCACAAATAGTGTGTTTCAAATCGGCTCTGTCTAAAGGAAGGTTCAACTCTGTGAGTTGAATACACACACCACAAATAAGTTACTGAGAATTCTTCTGTCGAACATTACAGGAAGAATTCCCGTTTCCAACGAAGGCCTCAAAGAGGTCCAAATATCCACTTGCGGACATTACAAACAGTGTGTTTCCCAACTGCTCCATCAAAAGAAAGGTTAAACTCTGTGAGCTGAACACACACATCAAAAAGACGTTTCTGTGAATGATTCTGTCTAGATTTTGTAAGAAGATGTTTCCTTTTCTACCGTAGGCCTCAATGCGCTTGAAATCTCCACCTGCAAATTCCACAAAAAGGGTGTTTTACATCTGCTCTTCTAAAGGAAAGTTCAACTCTATGCGTTGAATACACACAGGACAAAGAAGTTACTGAGACTTCTCCTATCAAACATTATATGAAGAAATCCCGTTTCCAACGAAGGCCTCAAAGAGGTCCAAATATCTGCTTGCAGACTTTACAGACAGAGTTTTTCCAAACTGCTCCATCAAAAGAAAGGTTAAACTCCTTGAGTTGAACACACACATCACAAAGTAGTTTCTGTGAATGATTCTGTCTAGTTTTTATACGAAGATGTGTCCTTTTCTACCTTTGGTCTCAAAGCGATTGAAATCTCCACATGGAAACTCCACAAAAAGAGTGTTTCAAATCTGCTCTTTCTGAAGGAAGGATCAACTCTGTGAGTTGAATACACACACCACAAATAAGTTACTGAGAAATCTTCTGGGTAACATTATATGAGGAAATCCCGTTTCCAACGAAGGCCTCAAAGAGGTCCAAATATCCACTTGCAGACTTTACAAAGACAGTGTCTCCAAACTCCTCCATCAAAAGAAAGGTTATACTCTGTGAATTGAACGCACACATCACAAAGTAGTTTCTGAGAATGATTCTGTCTAGTTTTTATACGAAGATATTTCCTTTTCTACATTTGGCCTAAAAGCGCTTGAAGTCTCCACCTGCAAATATCACAAAAAGAGGGTTTCACATCTGCTCTGTCTAAAGGACAGTTCACCTTTGTGAGTTGAATAGAGGCAACACAAAGAACTTACTCAGTATTCTTCTTTCTACCGTTCTATGAAGAAATCCCGTTTCCAACGAAGGCCTCAAAGAGGTCCAAATATCTGCTTGCAGACTTTACAGACAGAGTGTTTCCAAACTACTCTATGAAAAGAAAGCTTAAACTCCTTGAGTTGAACGCACACATCACAAAGTAGTTTCTGAGAATGATTCTGTCTAGTTTTTATACGAAGATGTTTCCTTTTCTACATTTGGTCTCAAAGCGATTGAAATCTCCAACTGGAAACTGCACAAATAGGGTGTTTCAAATCTGCTCTGTCTAAAGGAAGGTTCAACTCTGTGAGTTGAATACACACACCACAAATAAGTTACTGAGAATTCTTCTGTCGAACATTACAGGAAGAAATCCCGTTTCCAACGAAGACCTCAAAGAGGTCCAAATATCCACTTGCAGACATTACAAACAGTGTGTTTCCCAACTGCTCCATCAAAAGAAAGGTTAAACTCTGTGAGCTGAACACACACATCAAAAAGAAGTTTCTGTGAATGATTCTGTCTAGATTTTATAAGAAGATGTTTCCTTTTCTACCGTAGGCCTCAAAGCGCTTGAAATCTCCAGCTGCAAATTCCACAAAAAGGGTGTTTAACATCTGCTCTTCTAAAGGAAAGTTCAACTCTATGAGTTGAATACACACAGCACAAAGAAGTTACTGAGACTTCTTCTGTCTAACATTATATGAAGAAATCCCGTTTCCAACGAAGGCCTCAAAGAGGTCCAAATATCTGCCTGCAGACTTTACAGACAGAGTGTTTCCAAACTGCTCCATCAAAAGAAAGGTTAACCTCCTTGAGTTGAACACACACATCACAAAGTAGTTTCTGTGAATGATTCTGTCTAGTTTTTATACGAAGATGTTTCCTTTTCTACCTTTGGTCTCAAAGCGATTGAAATCTCCACATGGAAACTCCACAAAAAGAGTGTTTCAAATCTGCTCTTTCTGAAGGAAGGTTCATCTCTGTGAGTTGAATACACACACCACAAATAAGTTACTGAGAATTCTTCTGTGTAACATTATATGAGGAAATCCCGTTTCCAACGAAGGCCTCAAAGAGGTCCAAATATCCACTTGCAGACTTTACAAAGACAGTGTCTCCAAACTCCTCCATCAAAAGAAAGGTTATACTCTGTGAATTGAACGCACACATCACAAAGTAGTTTCTGAGAATGATTCTGTCTAGTTTTTATACGAAGATATTTCCTTTTCTACATTTGGCCTAAAAGCGCTTGAAATCTCCACCTGCAAATATCACAAAAAGAGGGTTTCACATCTGCTCTGTCTAAAGGACAGTTCACCTCTGTGAGTTGAATAGAGGCAACACAAAGAACTTACTCAGTATTCTTCTTTCTAGCGTTCTATGAAGAAATCCCGTTTCCAACGAAGGCCTCAAAGAGGTCCAAATATCTGCTTGCAGACTTTACAGACAGAGTGTTTCCAAACTACTCTATGAAAAGAAAGCTTAAACTCCTTGAGTTGAACGCACACATCACAAAGTAGTTTCTGAGAATGATTCTGTCTAGTTTTTATATGAAGATGTTTCCTTTTCTACATTTGGTCTCAAAGCGATTGAAATCTCCAACTGGAAACTGCACAAATAGGGTGTTTCAAATCTGCTCTGTGTAAAGGAAGGTTCAACTCTGTGAGTTGAATACACACACCACAAATAAGTTACTGAGAATTCTTCTCTCGAACATTACATGAAGAAATCCCGTTTCCAACGAAGGCCGCAAAGAGGTCCAAATATCCACTTGCCGACATGGCAAACACAGTGTTTGCAAACTGCTCCGTCAAAAGAAAGGTTAAACTCTGTGAGATGAATACACACATCAAAAAGAAGTTTCTGTGAATGATTCTGTCTAGATTTTATAAGAAGATGTTTCCTTTTCTACCATAGGCCTCAAAGCGCTAGAAATCTCCAGCTGCAAATTCCACAAAAAATGTGTTTAACATCCGCTCTGTCTAAAGTAAAGTTCAGCTCTGTGAGTTGAATACACACAGCACAAAGAAGTTACTGAGACTTCTTCTTTCTAACGTTATATGAAGAAATCACGTTTCCAACGAAGGCCTCAAAGAGGTCCAAATATCCACTTGCAGACTTGTCAAACAGAGTGTTTCCAAACTGTACCATCAAAAGAAAGGTTAAACCCTGTGAGCTGAACACACACATCACAAAGTAGTTTCTGTGAATGATTCTGTCTAGATTTTATAAGAAGATGTTTCCTTTTCTACCGTAGGCCTCAAAGCGCTTGAAATCTCCAGCTGCAAATTCCACAAAAAGGGTGTTTAACATCTGCTCTTCTAAAGGAAAGTTCAACTCTATGAGTTGAATACACACAGCACAAAGAAGTTACTGAGACTTCTCCTATCAAACATTATATGAAGAAATCCCGTTTCCAACGAAGGCCTCAAAGAGGTCCAAATATCTGCTAGCAGACTTTAAAGACAGAGTTTTTCCAAACTGCTCCATCAAAAGAAAGGTTAAACTCCTTGAGTTGAACACACACATCACAAAGTAGTTTCTGTGAATGATTCTGTCTAGTTGTTATACGAAGATGTTTCCTTTTCTACCTTTGGTCTCAAAGCGATTGAAATCTCCACATGGAAACTCCACAAAAAGAGTGTTTCAAATCTGCTCTTTCTGAAGGAAGGTTCATCTCTGTGAGTTGAATACACACATCAAAAATAAGTTACTGAGAATTCTCCTATCAAACATTATATGAAGAAATCCCGTTTCCAACGAAGGCCTCAAAGAGGTCCAAATATCTGCTTGCAGACTTTACAAAGACAGTGTCTCCAAACTCCTCCATCAAAAGAAAGGTTATACTCTGTGAATTGAACGCACACATCACAAAGTAGTTTCTGAGAATGATTCTATCTAGTTTTTATACGAAGATATTTCCTTTTCTACATTTGGCCTAAAAGCGCTTGAAATCTCCTCCTGCAAATATCACAAAAAGAAGGTTTCACATCTGCTCTCTCTAAAGGACAGTTCACCTCTGTGAGTTGAATAGAGGCAACACAAAGAATTTACTCAGTATTCTTCTTTCTAGCGTTCTATGAAGAAATCCCGTTTCCAACGAAGGCCTCAAAGAGGTCCAAATATCTGCTTGCAGACTTTACAGACAGAGTGTTTCCAAACTACTCTATGAAAAGAAAGCTTAAACTCCTTGAGTTGAACGCACACATCACAAAGTAGTTTCTGAGAATGATTCTGTCTTGTTTTTATACGAAGATATTTCCGTTTCTATGATTGGCCTCCAAGCGATTGAAATCTCCAACTGGAAACTGCACAAATAGGCTGTTTCAAATCTGCTCTGTCTAAAGGAAGGTTCAACTCTGTGAGTTGAATACACACACCACAAATAAGTTACTGAGAATTCTTCTGTCGAACATTACATGAAGAAATCCCGTTTCCAACGAAGGCCTCAAAGAGGTCCAAATATCCACTTGCAGACATTTCAAACAGAGTGTTTCCAAACTGCTCCATCAAAAGAAAGGTTAAACTCTGTGAGCTGAACACACACATCAAAAAGAAGTTTCTGTGAATGATTCCATCTAGACTTTAGAAGAAGATGTTTCCTTTTCTACCGTAGGCCTCAAAGCGCTTGAAATCTACAGCTGCAAATTCCACAAAAAGTGTGTTTAACATCTGCTCTTCTTAAGGAAAGTTCAACTCCATGAGTTGAATACAGACAGCACAAATAAGTTACTGAGACTTCTCCTATCAAACATTATATGAAGAAATCCCGTTTCCAACGAAGGCCTCAAAGAGGTCCAAATATCTGCTTGCAGACTTTACAGACAGAGTGTTTCCAAACTGCTCCATCAAAAGAAAGGTTAAACTCCTTGAGTTGAACACACACATCACAAAGTAGTTTCTGTGAATGATTCTGTCTAGTTGTTATACGAAGATGTTTCCTTTTCTACCTTTGGTCTCAAAGCGATTGAAATCTCCACATGGAAACTCCACAAAAAGAGTGTTTCAAATCTGCTCTTTCTGAAGGAAGGTTCATCTCTGTGAGTTGAATACACACACCACAAATAAGTTACTGAGAATTCTTCTGTGTAACATTATATGAGGAAATCCCGTTTCCAACGAAGGCCTCAAAGAGGTCCAAATATCCACTTGCAGACTTTACAAAGACAGTGTCTCCAAACTCCTCCATCAAAAGAAAGGTTATACTCTGTGAATTGAACGCACACATCACAAAGTAGTTTCTGAGAATGATTCTGTCTAGTTTTTATACGAAGATATTTCCTTTTCTACATTTGGCCTAAAAGCGCTTGAAATCTCCACCTGCAAATATCACAAAAAGAGGGTTTCACATCTGCTCTTTCTAAAGGACAGTTCACCTCTGTGAGTTGAATAGAGGCAACACAAAGAACTTACTCAGTATTCTTCTTTCTAGCGTTCTATGAAGAAATCCCGTTTCCAACGAAGGCCCCAAAGAGGTCCAAATATCTGCTTGCAGACTTTACAGACAGAGTGTTTCCAAACTACTCTATGAAAAGAAAGCTTAAACTCCTTGAGTTGAACGCACACATCACAAAGTAGTTTCGGAGAATGATTCTGTCTAGTTTTTATACGAAGATGTTTCCTTTTCTACATTTGGTCTCAAAGCGATTGAAATCTCCAACTGGAAACTGCACAAATAGGGTGTTTCAAATCTGCTCTGTCTAAAGGAAGGTTCAACTCTGTGAGTTGAATACACACACCACAAATAAGTTACTGAGAATTCTTCTGTCAAACATTACAGGAAGAAATCCCGTTTCCAACGAAGGCCTCAAAGAGGTCCAAATATCCACTTGCAGACATTACAAACAGAGTGTTTTCCAAACTGCTCCATCAAAAGAAAGGTTAAACTCTGTGAGCTGAACACACACATCAAAAAGAAGTTTCTGTGAATGATTCTGTCCAGATTTTATAAGAAGATGTTTCCTTTTCTACTGTAGTCCTCAAAGCGCTTGAAATCTCCAACTGCAAATTCCACAAAAAGGGTGTTTAACATCTGCTCTTCTAAAGGAAAGTTCAACTCTATGAGTTGAATACACACAGCACAAAGAAGTTACTGAGACTTCTCCTATCAAACATTATATGAAGAAATCCCGTTTCCAACGAAGGCCTCAAAGAGGTCCAAATATCTACTTGCAGACTTTACAGACAGAGTGTTTCCAAACTGCTCCATCAAAAGAAAGGTTAAACTCCTTGAGTTGAACACACACATCACAAAGTAGTTTCTGTGAATGATTCTGTCTAGTTTTTATACGAAGATGTTTCCTTTTCTACCTTTGGTCTCAAATCGATTGAAATCTCCACATGGAAACTCCACAAAAAGAGTGTTTCAAATCTGCTCTTTCTGAAGGAAGGTTCAACTCTGTGAGTTGAATACACACACCACAAATAAGTTACTGAGAATTCTTCTGTGTAACATTATATGAGGAAATCCCGTTTCCAACGAAGGCCTCAAAGAGGTCCAAATATCCACTTGCAGACTTTACAAAGACAGTGTCTCCAAACTCCTCCATCAATAGAAAGGTTATAGTCTGTGAATTGAATGCACACATCACAAAGTAGTTTCTGAGAATGGTTCTGTCTAGTTTTTATACGAAGATATTTCCTTTTCTACATTTGGCCTAAAAGCGCTTGAAATCTCCACCTGCAAATATCACAAAAAGAGGGTTTCACATCTGCTCTGTCTAAAGGACAGTTCACTTCTGTGAGTTGAATAGAGGCAACACCAAGAACTTACTCAGTATTCTTCTTTCTAGCGTTCTATGAAGAAATCCCGTTTCCAACGAAGGCCCCAAAGAGGTCCAAATATCTGCTTGCAGACTTTACAGACAGAGTGTTTCCAAACTACTCTATGAAAAGAAAGCTTAAACTCCTTGAGTTGAACAGCACACATCACAAAGTAGTTTCTGAGAATGATTCTGTCTAGTTTTTATACGAAGATGTTTCCTTTTCTACATTTGGTCTCAAAGCGATTGAAATCTCCAACTGGAAACTGCACAAATAGGGTGTTTCAAATCTGCTCTGTCTAAAGGAAGGTTCAACTCTGTGAGTTGAATACACACACCACAAATAAGTTACTGAGAATTCTTCTGTCGAACATTACTTGAAGAAATCCCGTTTCCAACAAAGACCTCAAAGAGGTCCAAATATCCACTTGCAGACATTACAAACAGAGTGTTTCGAAACTGCTCCATCAAAAGAAAGGTTAAACTCTGTGAGCTGAACACACACATCAAAAAGAAGTTTCTGTGAATGATTCTGTCTAGATTTTATAAGAAGATGTTTCCTTTTCTACCGTAGGCCTCAAAGCGCTTGAAATCTCCAGCTGCAAATTCCACAAAAAGGGTGTTTAACATCTGCTCTTCTAAAGGAAAGTTCAACCCTATGAGTTGAATACACACAGCACAAAGAAGTTACTGAGACTTGTCCTATCAAACATTATATGAAGAAATCCCGTTTCCATCGAAGGCCTCAAAGAGGTCCAAATATCTGCTTGCAGACTTTACAGACAGAGTGTTTCCAAACTGCTCCATCAAAAGAAAGGTTAAACTCCTTGAGTTGAACACACACATCACAAAGTAGTTTCTGTGAATGATTCTGTCTAGTTGTTATACGAAGATGTTTCCTTTTCTACCTTTGGTCTCAAAGCGATTGAAATCTCCACATGGAAACTCCACAAAAAGAGTGTTTCAAATCTGCTCTTTCTGAAGGAAGGTTCATCTCTGTGAGTTGAATACACACACCACAAATAAGTTAGTGAGAATTCTCCCTGTGTAACATTATATGAGGAAATCCCGTTTCCAACAAAGGCCTCAAAGAGGTCCAAATATCCACTTGCAGACTTTACAAAGACAGTGTCTCCAAACTCCTCCATCAAAAGAAAGGTTATACTCTGTGAATTGAACGCACACATCACAAAGTAGTTTCTGAGAATGATTCTGTCTAGTTTTTATACGAAGATATTTCCTTTCCTACATTTGGCCTAAAAGCGCTTGAAATCTCCACCTGCAAATATCACAAAAAGAGGGTTTCACATCTGCTCTGTCTAATGGACAGTTCACCTCTGTGAGTTGAATAGAGGCAACACAAAGAACTTACTCAGTATTCTTCTGTCGAACATTACTTGAAGAAATCCCGTTTCCAACGAAGGCCTCAAAGAGGTCTAAATATCTGCTTGCAGACTTTACAGACAGAGTGTTTCCAAACTACTCTATGAAAAGAAAGCTTAAACTCCTTGAGTTGAACGCACACATCACAAAGTAGTTTCTGAGAATGATTCTGTCTACTTTTTATACGAAGATGTTTCCTTTTCTACATTTGGTCTCAAAGCGATTGAAATCTCCAACTGGATACTGCACAAATAGGGTGTTTCAAATCTGCTCTGTCTAAAGGAAGGTTCAACTCTGTGAGTTGAATACACACACCACAAATAAGTTACTGAGAATTCTTCTGTCGAACATTACTTGAAGAAATCCCGTTTCCAACGAAGGCCTCAAAGCGGTCCAAATATCCACTTGCAGACATTACAAACAGAGTGTTTCCAAACTGCTCCATCAAAAGAAAGGTTAAACTCTGTGAGCTGAACACACACATCAAAAAGAAGTTTCTGTGAATGATTCTGTCTAGATATTATAAGAAGATGTTTCCTTTTCTACCGTAGGCCTCAAAGCGCTTGAAATCTCCAGCTGCAAATTCCACAAAAAGGGTGTTTAACATCTGCTCTTCTAAAGGAAAGTTCAACTCTATGAGTTGAATACACACAGCACAAAGAAGTTACTGAGACTTCTCCTATCAAACATTACATGAAGAAATCCCGTTTCCAACGAAGGCCTCAAAGAGGTCCAAATATCTGCTTGCAGACTTTACAGACAGAGTGTTTCCAAACTGCTCCATCAAAAGAAAGGTTAAACTCCTTGAGTTGAACACACACATCACAAAGTAGTTTCTGTGAATGATTCTGTCTAGTTTTTATACGAAGATGTTTCCTTTTCTACCTTTGGTCTCAAAGCGATTGAAATCTCCACATGGAAACTCCACAAAAAGAGTGTTTCAAATCTGCTCTGTCTAAAGGAAGGTTCAACTCTGTGAGTTGAATACACACACCACAAATAAGTTACTGAGAATTCTTCTGTGTAACATTATATGAGGAAATCCCGTTTCCAACGAAGGCCTCAAAGAGGTCCAAATATCCACTTGCAGACTTTACAAAGACAGTGTCTCCAAAATCCTCCATCAAAAGAAAGGTTATACTCTGTGAATTGAACGCACACATCACAAAGTAGTTTCTGAGAATGATTCTGTCTAGTTTTTATACGAAGATATTTCCTTTTCTACATTTGGCCTAAAAGCGCTTGAAATCTCCACGTGGAAATATCGCAAAAAGAGGGTTTCACATCTGCTCTGTCTAAAGGACAGTTCACCTCTGTGAGTTGAATAGAGGCAACACATAGAACTTACTCAATATTCTTCTTTCTAGCGTTCTATGAAGAAATCCCGTTTCCAACGAAGGCCTCAAAGAGGTCAAATATCTGCTTGCAGACTTTACAGACAGAGTGTTTCCAAACTACTCTATGAAAAGAAAGCTTAAACTCCTTGAGTTGAACGCACACATCACAAAGTAGTTTCTGAGAATGATTCTGTCTAGTTTTTATACGAAGATGTTTCCTTTTCTACATTTGGTCTCAAAGCGATTGAAATCTCCAACTGGAAACTGCACAAATAGGGTGTTTCAAATCTGCTCTGTCTAAAGGAAGGTTCAACTCTGTGAGTTGAATACACACACCACAAATAAGTTACTGAGAATTCTTCTGTCGAACATTACTTGAAGAAATCCCGTTTCCAACGAAGGCCTCAAAGAGGTCCAAATATCCACTTGCAGACATTACAAACAGAGTGTTTCCAAACTGCTCCATCAAAAGAAAGGTTAAACTCTGTGAGCTGAACACACACATCAAAAAGAAGTTTCTGTGAATGATTCTGTCTAGATATTATAAGAAGATGTTTCCTTTTCTACCATAGGCCTCAAAGCGCTTGAAATCTCCAGCTGCAAATTCCACAAAAAGGGTGTTTAACATCTGCTCTTCTAAAGGAAAGTTCAACTCTATGAGTTGAATACACACAGCACAAAGAAGTTACTGAGACTTCTCCTATCAAACATTATATGAAGAAATCCCGTTTCCAACGATGGCCCCAAAGAGGTCCAAATATCTGCTTGCAGACTTTACAAAGACAGTGTCTCCAAACTCCTCCATCAAAAGAAATATTATACACTGTGAATTGAACGCACTCATCACAAAGTAGTTTCTGAGAATGATTCTGTCTAGTTTTTATACGAAGATGTTTCCTTTTGTACTTTTGGTCTCAAAGCGATTGAAATCTCCACATGGAAACTCCACAAAAAGGGTGTTTCAAATCTGCTCTTTCTGAAGGAAGGTTCAACTCTGTGAGTTGAATACACACACCACAAATAAGTTACTGAGAATTCTTCTGTGTAACATTATATGAGGAAATCCCGTTTCCAACGAAGGCCTCAAAGAGGTCCAAATATCCACTTGCAGACTTTACAAAGACAGGGTCTCCAAACTCCTCCATCAAAAGAAAGGTTATACTCTGTGAATTGAACGCACACATCACAAAGTAGTTTCTGAGAATGATTCTGTCTAGTTTTTATACGAAGATATTTCCTTTTCTACATTTGGCCTAAAAGCGCTTGAAATCTCCACCTGCAAATATCACAAAAAGAGGGTTTCACATCTGCTCTGTCTAAAGGACAGTTCACCTCTGTGAGTTGAGTAGAGGCAACACAAAGAACTTACTCAGTATTCTTCTTTCTAGCGTTCTATGAAGAAATCCCGTTTCCAACGAAGGCCCCAATGAGGTCCAAATATCTGCTTGCAGACTTTACAGACAGAGTGTTTCCAAACTACTCTATGAAAAGAAAGCTTAAACTTCTTGAGTTGAACGCACACATCACAAAGTAGTTTCTGAGAATGATTCTGTCTAGTTTTTATACGAAGATGTTTCCTTTTCTACATTTGGTCTCAAAGCGATTGAAATCTCCAACTGGAAACTGCACAAATAGGGTGTTTCAAATCTGCTCTGTCTAAAGAAGGTTCAACTCTGTGAGTTGAATACACACACCACAAATAAGTTACTGAGAATTCTTCTCCCGAACATTACTTGAAGAAATCCCGTTTCCAACGAAGGCCTCAAAGAGGTCCAAATATCCACTTGCAGACATTACAAACAGAGTGTTTCCAAACTGCTCCATCAAAAGAAAGGTTAAACTCTGTGAGCTGAACACACACATCAAAAAGAAGTTTCTGTGAATGATTCTGTCTAGATTTTATAAGAAGATGTTTCCTTTTCTACCGTAGGCCTCAAAGCGCTTGAAATCTCCAGCTGCAAATTCCACAAAAAGGGTGTTTAACATCTGCTCTTCTAAAGGAAAGTTCAACTCTATGAGTTGAATACACACAGCACAAAGAAGTTACTGAGACTTCTCCCATCAAACATTATATGAAGAAATCCCGTTTCCAACGAAGGCCTCAAAGAGGTCCAAATATCTGCTTGCAGACTTTACAGACAGAGTGTTTCCAAACTGCTCCATCAAAAGAAAGATTAAACTCCTTGAGTTGAACACACACATCACAAAGTAGTTTCTGTGAATGATTCTGTCTAGTTTTTATACGAAGATGTTTCCTTTTCTACCTTTGGTCTCAAAGCGATTGAAATCTCCACATGGAAACTCCACAAAAAGAGTGTTTCAAATCTGCTCTTTCTGAAGGAAGGTTCATCTTTGTGAGTTGAATACACACACCACAAATAAGTTACTGAGAATTCTTCTGTGTAACATTATATGAGGAAATCCCGTTTCCAACGAAGGCCTCAAAGAGGTCCAAATATCCACTTGCAGACTTTACAAAGACAGTGTCTCCAAACTCCTCCATCAAAAGAAAGGTTAT
Source organism: Homo sapiens (assembly GCF_000001405.40). NCBI lineage: Eukaryota > Metazoa > Chordata > Mammalia > Primates > Hominidae > Homo > Homo sapiens. The sequence continues at coordinate 36,982,175 of NC_000012.12, read as the reverse complement.
ACTCTGTGAATTGAACGCACACATCACAAAGTAGTTTCTGAGAATGATTCTGTCTAGTTTTTATACGAAGATATTTCCTTTTCTACATTTGGCCTAAAAGCGCTTGAAATCTCCACCTGCAAATATCACAAAAAGAGGGTTTCACATCTGCTCTGTCTAAAGGACAGTTCACCTCTGTGAGTTGAATAGAGGCAACACAAAGAACTTACTCAGTATTCTTCTTTCTAGCATTCTATGAAGAAATCCCGTTTCCAACGAAGGCCTCAAAGAGGTCAAATATCTGCTTGCAGACTTTACAGACAGAGTGTTTCCAAACTACTCTATGAAAAGAAAGCTTAAACTCCTTGAGTTGAACGCACACATCACAAAGTAGTTTCTGAGAATGATTCTGTCTAGTTTTTATACGAAGATGTTTCCTTTTCTACATTTGGTCTCAAAGCGATTGAAATCTCCAACTGGAAACTGCACAAATAGGGTGTTTCAAATCTGCTCTGTCTAAAGGAAGGTTCAACTCTTTGAGTTGAATACACACACCACAAATAAGTTACTGAGAATTCTTCTGTCGAACATTACATGAAGAAATCCCGTTTCCAACGAAGGCCTCAAAGAGGTCCAAATATCCACTTGCAGACATTACAAACAGTGTGTTTCCAAACTGCTCCATCAAAAGAAAGGTTAAACTCTGTGAGCTGAACACACATCAAAAAGAAGTTTCTGTGAATGATTCTGTCTAGATTTTATAAGAAGATGTTTCCTTTTCTACCGTAGGCCTCAAAGCGCTTGAAATCTCCAGCTGCAAATTCCACAAAAAGGGTGTTTAACATCTGCTCTTCTAAAGGAAAGTTCAACTCTATGAGTTGAATACACACAGCACAAAGAAGTTACTGAGACTTCTCCTATCAAACATTATATGAAGAAATCCCGTTTCCAACGAAGGCCTCAAAGAGGTCCAAATATCTGCTTGCAGACTTTACAGACAGAGTGTTTCCAAACTGCTCCATCAAAAGAAAGGTTAAACTCCTTGAGTTGAACACACACATCACAAAGTAGTTTCTGTGAATGATTCTGTCTAGTTTTTATACGAAGATGTTTCCTTTTCTACCTTTGGTCTCAAAGCGATTGAAATCTCCACATGGAAACTCCACAAAAAGAGTGTTTCAAATCTGCTCTTTCTGAAGGAAGGTTCATCTCTGTGAGTTGAATACACACACCACAAATAAGTTACTGAGAATTCTTCTGTGTAACATTATATGAGGAAATCCCGTTTCCAACGAAGGCCTCAAAGAGATCCAAATATCCACTTGCAGACTTTACAAAGACAGTGTCTCCAAACTCCTCCATCAAAAGAAAGGTTATACTCTGTGAATTGAACGGCACACATCACAAAGTAGTTTCTGAGAATGATTCTGTCTAGTTTTTATACGAAGATATTTCCTTTTCTACATTTGGCCTCAAAGCGCTTGAAATCTCCACCTGCAAATATCACAAAAAGAGGGTTTCACATCTGCTCTGTCTAAAGGACAGTTAACCTCTGTGAGTTGAATAGAGGCAACACAAAGAACTTACTCAGTATTCTTCTTTCTAGCGTTCTATGAAGAAATCCCGTTTCCAACGAAGGCCCCAAAGAGGTCCAAATATCTGCTTGCAGACTTTACAGACAGAGTGTTTCCAAACTACTCTATGAAAAGAAAGCTTAAACTCCTTGAGTTGAACGCACACATCACAAAGTAGTTTCTGAGAATGATTCTGTCTAGTTTTTATACGAAGATGTTTCCTTTTCTACATTTGGTCTCAAAGCGATTGAAATCTCCAACTGGAAACTGCACAAATAGGGTGTTTCAAATCTGCTCTGTCTAAAGGAAGGTTCAACTCTTTGAGTTGAATACACACACCACAAATAAGTTACTGAGAATTCTTCTGTCGAACATTACATGAAGAAATCCCGTTTCCAACGAAGGCCTCAAAGACGTCCAAATATCCACTTGCAGACATTACAAACAGAGTGTTTCCAAACTGCTCCATCAAAAGAAAGGTTAAACTCTGTGAGCTGAACACACACATCAAAAAGAAGTTTCTGTGAATGATTCTGTCTAGATTTTGTAAGAAGATGTTTCCTTTTCTACCGTAGGCCTCAAAGCGCTTGAAATCTCCACCTGCAAATTCCACAAAAAGGGTGTTTTACATCTGCTCTTCTAAAGGAAAGTTCAACTCTATGCGTTGAATACACACAGGACAAAGAAGTTACTGAGACTTCTCCTATCAAACATTATATGAAGAAATCCCGTTTCCAACGAAGGCCTCAAAGAGGTCCAAATATCTGCTTGCAGACTTTACAGACAGAGTGTTTCCAAACTGCTCCATCAAAAGAAAGGTTAAACTCCTTGAGTTGAACACACACATCACAAAGTAGTTTCTGTGAATGATTCTGTCTAGTTTTTATACGAAGATGTTTCCTTTTCTACCTTTGGTCTCAAAGTGATTGAAATCTCCACATGGAAACTCCACAAAAAGAGTGTTTCAAATCTGCTCTTTCTGAAGGAAGGTTCAAATCTGTGAGTTGAATACACACACCACAAATAAGTTACTGAGAATTCTTCTGGGTAACATTATATGAGGAAATCCCGTTTCCAACGAAGGCCTCAAAGAGGTCCAAATATCCACTTGCAGACTTTACAAAGACAGTGTCTCCAAACTCCTCCATCAAAAGAAAGGTTATACTCTGTGAATTGAACGCACACATCACAAAGTAGTTTCTGAGAATGATTCTGCCTAGTTTTTATACGAAGATATTTCCTTTTCTACATTTGGCCTAAAAGCGCTTGAAATCTCCACCTGCAAATATCACAAAAAGAGGGTTTCACATCTGCTCTGTCTAAAGGACAGTTCACCTCTGTGAGTTGAATAGAGGCAACACAAAGAACTTACTCAGTATTCTTCTTTCTAGCGTTCTATGAAGAAATCCCGTTTCCAACGAAGGCCCCAAAGAGGTCCAAATATCTGCTTGCAGACTTTACAGACAGAGTGTTTCCAAACTACTCTATGAAAAGAAAGCTTAAACTCCTTGAGTTGAACGCACACATCACAAAGTAGTTTCGGAGAATGATTTCTGTCTAGTTTTTATACGAAGATGTTTCCTTTTCTACATTTGGTCTCAAAGCGATTGAAATCTCCAACTGGAAACTGCACAAATAGGGTGTTTCAAATCTGCTCTGTCTAAAGGAAGGTTCAACTCTGTGAGTTGAATACACACACCACAAATAAGTTACTGAGAATTCTCCTATCAAACATTATATGAAGAAATCCCGTTTCCAACGAAGGCCTCAAAGACGTCCAAATATCCACTTGCAGACATTATAAACAGTGTGTTTCCAAACTGCTCCATCAAAAGAAAGGTTAAACTCTGTGAGCTGAACACACACATCAAAAAGAAGTTTCTGTGAATGATTCTGTCTAGATTTTATAAGAAGATGTTTCCTTTTCTACCGTAGGCCTCAAAGCGCTTGAAATCTCCAGCTGCAAATTCCACAAAAAGGGTGTTTAACATCTGCTCTTCTAAAGGAAAGTTCAACTCTATGAGTTGAATACACACAGCACAAAGAAGTTACTGAGACTCCTCCTATCAAACATTATATGAAGAAATCCCGTTTCCAACGAAGGCCTCAAAGAGGTCAAAATATCTACTTGCAGACTTTACAGACAGAGTGTTTCCAAACTGCTCCATCAAAAGAAAAGTTAAACTCCTTGAGTTGAACACACACATCACAAAGTAGTTTCTGTGAATGATTCTGTCTAGTTTTTATACGAAGATGTTTCCTTTTCTACCTTTGGTCTCAAAGCGATTGAAATCTCCACATGGAAACTCCACAAAAAGAGTGTTTCAAATCTGCTCTTTCTGAAGGAAGGTTCACCTCTGTGAGTTGAATAAACACACCACAAATAAGTTACTGAGAATTCTTCTGTCGAACATTACAGGAAGAAATCCCGTGTCCAACGAAGGCCTCAAAGAGGTCCAAATATCCACTTGCAGACTTTACAAAGACAGTGTCTCCAAACTCTTCCATCAAAAGAAAGGTTATACTCTGTGAATTGAACGCACACATCACAAAGTAGTTTCTGAGAATGATTTCTGTCTAGTTTTTATACGAAGATATTTCCTTTTCTACATTTGGCCTAAAAGCGCTTGAAATCTCCACCTGTAAATATCACAAAAAGAGGGTTTCACATCTGCTCTGTCTAAAGGACAGTTCACCCCTGTGAGTTGAATAGAGGCAACACAAAGAACTTACTGAGTATTCTTCTTTCTAGCGTTCTATGAAGAAATCCCGTTTCCAATGAAGGCCTCAAAGAGGTCAAATATCTGCTTGCAGACTTTACAGACAGAGTGTTTCCAAACTACTCTATGAAAAGAAAGCTTAAACTGCTTGAGTTGAACGCACACATCACAAAGTAGTTTCTGAGAATGATTCTGTCTAGTTTTTATACGCAGATGTTTCCTTTTCTACATTTGGTCTCAAAGCGATTGAAATCTCCAACTGGAAACTGCACAAATAGGGTGTTTCAAATCTGCTCTGTCTAAAGGAAGGTTCAACTCTGTGAGTTGAATACACACACCACAAATAAGTTACTGAGAATTCTTCTGTCGAACATTACATGAAGAAATCCCTTTCCCAACGAAGGCCTCAAAGAGGTCCAAATATCCACTTGCAGACATTACAAACAGAGTGTTTCCAAACTGCTCCATCAAAAGAAAGGTTAAACTCTGTGAGCTGAACACACACATCAAAAAGAAGTTTGCTGTGAATGATTCTGTCTAGATTTTATAAGAAGATGTTTCCTTTTCTACCGTAGGCCTCAAAGCGCTTGAAATCTCCAGCTGCAAATTCCACAAAAAGGGTGTTTAACATCTGCTCTTCTAAAGGAAAGTTCAACTCTATGAGTTGAATACACACAGCACAAAGAAGTTACTGAGACTTCTCCTATCAAACATTATATGAAGAAATCCCGTTTCCAACGAAGGCCTCAAAGAGGTCCAAATATCTGCTTGCAGACTTTACAGACAGTGTGTTTCCAAACTGCTCCATCAAAAGAAAGGTTAAACTCCTTGAGTTGAACACACACATCACAAAGTAGTTTCTGTGAATGATTCTGTCTAGTTTTTATACGAAGATGTTTCCTTTTCTACCTTTGGTCTCAAAGTGATTGAAATCTCCACATGGAAACTCCACAAAAAGAGTGTTTCAAATCTGCTCTTTCTGAAGGAAGGTTCAAATCTGTGAGTTGAATACACACACCACAAATAAGTTACTGAGAATTCTTCTGTGTAACATTATATGAGGAAATCCCGTTTCCAACGAAGGCCTCAAAGAGGTCCAAATATCCACTTGCAGACTTTACAAAGACAGTGTCTCCAAACTCCTCCATCAAAAGAAAGGTTATACTCTGTGAATTGAACGCACACATCACAAAGTAGTTTCTGAGAATGATTCTGTCTAGTTTTTATACGAAGATATTTCCTTTTCTACATTTGGCCTAAAAGCGCTTGAAATCTCCACCTGCAAATATCACAAAAAGAGGGTTTCACATCTGCTCTGTCTAAAGGACAGTTCACCTGCTGTGAGTTGAATAGAGGCAACACAAAGAACTTACTCAGTATTCTTCTTTCTAGCGTTCTATGAAGAAATCCCGTTTCCAACGAAGGCCTCAAAGATGTCCACATATCTGCTTGCAGACTTTACAGAGTGTTTCCAAACTACTCTATGAAAAGAAAGCTTAAACTCCTTGAGTTGAACGCACACATCACAAAGTAGTTTCTGAGAATGATTTCTGTCTAGTTTTTATACGAAGATGTTTCCTTTTCTACATTTGGTCTCAAAGCGATTGAAATCTCCAACTGGAAACTGCACAAATAGGGTGTTTCAAATCTGCTCTGTCTAAAGGAAGGTTCAACTCTGTGAGTTGAATACACACACCACAAATAAGTTACTGAGAATTCTTGTGTCGACCATTACTTGAAGAAATCCCGTTTCCAATGAAGGCCTCAAAGAGGTCCAAATATCCACTTGCAGACATTACAAACAGAGTGTTTCCAAACTGCTCCATCAAAAGAAAGGTTAAACTCTGTGAGCTGAACACACACATCGAAAAGAAGTTTCTGTGAATGATTCTGTCTAGATTTTATAAGAAGATGTTTCCTTTTCTACCGTAGGCCTCAAAGCGCTTGAAATCTCCAGCTGCAAATTCCACAAAAAGGGTGTTTAACATCTGCTCTTCTAAAGGAAAGTTCAACTCTATGAGTTGAATACACACAGCACAAAGAAGTTACTGAGACTTCTCCTATCAAACATTATATGAAGAAATCCCGTTTCCAACGAAGGCCTCAAAGAGGTCCAAATATCTGCTTGCAGACTTTACAGACAGAGTGTTTCCAAACTGCTCCATCAAAAGAAAGGTTAACCTCCTTGAGTTGAACACACACATCACAAAGTAGTTTCTGTGAATGATTCTGTCTAGTTTTTATACGAAGATGTTTCCTTTTCTACCTTTGGTCTCAAAGCGATTGAAATCTCCACATGGAAACTCCACAAAAAGAGTGTTTCAAATCTGCTCTTTCTGAAGGAAGGTTCAACTCTGTGAGTTGAATACACACACCACAAATAAGTTACTGAGAATTCTTCTGTGTAACATTATATGAGGAAATCCCGTTTCCAACGAAGGCCTCAAAGCAGGTCCAAATATCCACTTGCAGACTTTACAAAGACAGTGTCTCCAAACTCGTCCATCAAAAGAAAGGTTATACTCTGTGAATTGAATGCACACATCACAAAGTACTTTCTGAGAATGATTCTGTCTAGTTTTTATACGAAGATATTTCCTTTTCTACATTTGGCCTAAAAGTGCTTGAAATCTCCACCTGCAAATATCACAAAAAGAGGGTTTCACATCTGCTCTGTCTAAAGGACAGTTCACCTCTGTGAGTTGAATAGAGGCAACACAAAGAACTTACTCAGTATTCTTCTTTCTAGCGTTCTATGAAGAAATCCCGTTTCCAACGAAGGCCCCAAAGAGGTCAAAATATCTGCTTGCAGACTTTACAGACAGAGTGTTTCCAAACTACTCTATGAAAAGAAAGCTTAAACTCCTTGAGTTGAACGCACACATCACAAAGTAGTTTCTGAGAATGATTCTGTCTAGTTTTTATACGAAGATGTTTCCTTTTCTACATTTGGTCTCAAAGCGATTGAAATCTCCAACTGGAAACTGCACAAATAGGGTGTTTCAAATCTGCTCTGTCTAAAGGAAGGTTCAACTCTTTGAGTTGAATACACACACCACAAATAAGTTACTGAGAATTCTTCTGTCGAACATTACAGGAAGAAATCCCGTTTCCAGCGAAGGCCTCAAAGAGGTCCAAATATCCACTTGCAGACATTACAAACAGAGTGTTTCCAAACTGCTCCATCAAAAGAAAGGTTAAACTCTGTGAGCTGAACACACACATCAAAAAGAAGTTTCTGTGAATGATTCTGTCTAGATTTTATAAGAAGATGTTTCCTTTTCTACCGTAGGCCTCAAAGCGCTTGAAATCTCCAGCTGCAAATTCCACAAAAAGGGTGTTTAACATCTGCTCTTCTAAAGGAAAGTTCAACTCTATGAGTTGAATACACACAGCACAAAGAAGTTACTGAGACTTCTCCTATCAAACATTATATGAAGAAATCCCGTTTCCAACGAAGGCCTCAAAGAGGTCCAAATGTCTGCTTGCAGACTTTACAGACAGAGTGTTTCCAAACTGCTCCATCAAAAGAAAGGTTAAACTCCTTGAGTTGAACACACACATCACAAAGTAGTTTCTGTAAATGATTCTGTCTAGTTTTTATACGAAGATGTTTCCTTTTCTACCTTTGGTCTCAAAGCGATTGAAATCTCCACATGGAAACTCCACAAAAAGAGTGTTTCAAATCTGCTCTTTCTGAAGGAAGGTTCAACTCTGTGAGTTGAATACACACACCACAAATAAGTTACTGAGAATTCTTCTGTGTAACATTATATGAGGAAATCCCGTTTCCAACGAAGGCCTCAAAGAGGTCCAAATATCCACTTGCAGATTTTACAAAGACAGTGTCTCCAAACTCCTCCATCAAAAGAAAGGTTATACTCTGTGAATTGAACGCACACATCACAAAGTAGTTTCTGAGAATGATTCTGTCTAGTTTTTATACGAAGATATTTCCTTTTCTACATTTGGCCTAAAAGCGCTTGAAATCTCCACCTGCAAATATCACAAAAAGAGGGTTTCACATCTGCTCTGTCTAAAGACAGTTCACCTCTGTGAGCTGAATAGAGGCAACACAAAGAAGTTACTGAGTATTCTTCTTTCTAGCGTTATATGAAGAAATCCCGTTTCCAACGAAGGCCACAAAGAGGTCCAAATATCTGCTTGCAGGCTTTACAGACAGAGTGTTTCCAAACTGCTCCATCAAAAGAAAGGTTAACCTCCTTGAGTTGAACACACACTTCACAAAGTAGTTTCTGTGAATGATTCTGTCTAGTTTTTATACGAAGATGTTTCCTTTTCTACCTTTGGTCTCAAAGCGATTGAAATCTCCACATGGAAACTCCACAAAAAGAGAGTTTCAAATCTGCTCTTTCTGAAGGAAGGTTCAACTCTGTGAGTTGAATACACACACCACAAATAAGTTACTGAGAATTCTTCTGTGTAACATTATATGAGGAAATCCCGTTTCCAACGAAGGCCTCAAAGAGGTCCAAATATCCACTTGCAGACTTTACAAAGACAGTGTCTCCAAACTCGTCCATCAAAAGAAAGGTTATACTCTGTGAATTGAAGGCACACATCACAAAGTAGTTTCTGAGAATGATTCTGTCTAGTTTTAATACGAAGATATTTCCTTTTCTACATTTGGCCTAAAAGCGCTTGAAATCTCCACCTGCAAATATCACAAAAAGAGGGTTTCACATCTGCTCTGTCTAAAGGACAGTTCACCTCTGTGAGTTGAATAGAGGCAACACAAAGAACTTACTCAGGATTCTTCTTTCTAGCGTTCCATGAAGAAAACCCGTTTCCAACGAAGGCCTCAAAGAGGTCCAAATATCTGCTTGCAGACTTTACAGACAGAGTGTTTCCAAACAACTTTATGAAAAGAAAGCTTAAACTCCTTGAGTTGAACGCACATATCACAAAGTAGTTTCTGAGAATGATTCTCTGTCTAGTTTTTATACGAAGATGTTTCCTTTTCTACATTTGGTCTCAAAGCGATTGAAATCTCCAACTGGAAACTGCACAAATAGGGTGTTTCAAATCTGCTCTGTCTGAAGGAAGGTTCAACTCTGTGAGTTGAATACACACACCACACTAAGTTACTGAGAATTCTTCTGTTGAACATTACATGAAGCAATCCCGTTTCCAACGAAGGCCTCAAAGAGGTCCTAATGTCCACTTGCAGACATTACAGAGTGTTTCCAAACTGCTCCATCAAAAGAAAGGGTAAACTCTGTGAGCTGAACACACACATCAAAAAGAAGTTTCTGTGAATGATTCTGTCTAGATTTTATAAGAAGATGTTTCCTTTTCTACCGTAGGCCTCAAAGTGCTTGAAATCTCCAGCTGCAAATTCCACAAAAAGGGTGTTTAACATCTGCTCTTCTAAAGGAAAGTTCAACTCTATGAGTTGAATACACACAGCACAAAGAAGTTACTGAGACTTCTCCTATCAAACATTATATGAAGAAATCCCGTTTCCAACGAAGGCCTCAAAGAGGTCCAAATATCTGCTTGCAGACTTTACAGACAGAGTGTTTCCAAACTGCTCCATCAAAAGAAAGGTTAAACTCCTTGAGTTGAACACACACATCACAAAGTAGTTTCTGTGAATGATTCTGTCTAGTTTTTATACGAAGATGTTTCCTTTTCTACCTTTGGTCTCAAAGCGATTGAAATCTCCACATGGAAACACCACAAAAAGAGTGTTTCAAATCTGCTCTTTCTGAAGGAAGGTTCATCTCTTTGAGTTGAATACACACACCACAAATAAGTTACTGAGAATTCTTCTGTGTAACATTATATGAGGAAATCCCGTTTCCAACGAAGGCCTCAAAGAGGTCCAAATATCCACTTGCAGACTTTACAAAGACAGTGTCTCCAAACTCCTCCATCAAAAGAAAGGTTATACTCTGTGAATTGAACGCACACATCACAAAGTAGTTTCTGAGAATGATTCTGTCTAGTTTTTATAAGAAGATATTTCCTTTTCTACATTTGGCCTAAAAGCGCTTGAAATCTCCACCTGCAAATATCACAAAAAGAGGGTTTCACATCTGCTCTGTCTAAAGGACAGTTCACCTCTGTGAGTTGAATAGAGGCAACACAAAGAACTTACTCAGTATTCTTCTTTCTACCGTTCTATGAAGAAATCCCGTTTCCAACGAAGGCCTCAAAGAGGTCCAAATATCTGCTTGCAGACTTTACAGACAGAGTGTTTCCAAACTACTCTATGAAAAGAAAGCTTAAACTCCTTGAGTTGAACGCACACATCACAAAGTAGTTTCTGAGAATGATTCTGTCCAGTTTTTATACGAAGATGTTTCCTTTTCTACATTTGGTCTCAAAGCGATTGAAATCTCCAACTGGAAACTGCACAAATAGGGTGTTTCAAATCTGCTCTGTCTAAAGGAAGGTTCAACTCTGTGAGTTGAATACACACACCACAAATAAGTTACTGAGAATTACTTCTGTCGAATATTACATGAAAAAATCCCGTTTCCAACGAAGGCCTCAAAGAGGTCCAAATATCCACTTGCAGACATTACAAACAGAGTGTTTCCAAACTGCTCCATCAAAAGAAAGGTTAAACTCTGTGAGCTGAACACACACATCAAAAAGAAGTTTCTGTGAATGATTCTGTCTAGATTTTATAAGATGTTTCCTTTTCTACCGTAGGCCTCAAAGCGCTTGAAATCTCCAGCTGCAAATTCCACAAACAGGGTGTTTAACATCTGCTCTTCTAAAGGAAAGTTCAACTCTATGAGTTGAATACACACAGCACAAAGAAGTTACTGAGACTTCTCCTATCAAACATTATATGAAGAAATCCCGTTTCCAACGAAGGCCTCAAAGAGGTCCAAATATCTGCTTGCAGACTTTACAGACAGAGTATTTCCAAACTGCTCCATCAAAAGAAAGGTTAAACTCCTTGAGTTGAACACACACATCACAAAGTAGTTTCTGTGAATGATTCTGTCTAGTTTTTATACGAAGATGTTTCCTTTTCTACCTTTGGTCTCAAAGCGATTGAAATCTCCACATGGAAACTCCACAAAAAGAGTGTTTCAAATCTGCTCTTTCTGAAGGAAGGTTCAACTCTGTGAGTTGAATACACACACCACAAATAAGTTACTGAGAATTCTCCTATCAAACATTATATGAAGAAATCCCGTTTCCAACGAAGGCCCCAAAGAGGTCCAAATATCTGCTTGCAGACTTTACAAAGACAGTGTCTCCAAACTCCTCCATCAAAAGAAAGGTTATACTCTGTGAATTGAACGCACACATCACAAAGTAGTTTCTGAGAATGATTCTGTCTAGTTTTTATACGAAGATATTTCCTTTTCTACATTTGGCCTAAAAGCGCTTGAAATCTCCACCTGCAAATATCACAAAAAGAGGGTTTCACATCTGCTCTGTCTAAAGGACAGTTCACCTCTGTGAGTTGAATAGAGGCAACACAAAGAACGTACTCAGTATTCTTCTTTCTAGCGTTCTATGAAGAAATCCCGTTTCCAACGAAGGCCGCAAAGAGGTCAAATATCTGCTTGCAGACTTTACAGACAGAGTGTTTCCAAACTACTCTATGAAAAGAAAGCTTAAACTCCTTGAGTTGAACGCACACATCACAAAGTAGTTTCTGAGAATGATTCTGTCTAGTTTTTATACGAAGATGTTTCCTTTTCTACATTTGGTCTCAAAGCGATTGAAATCTCCAACTGGAAACTGCACAAATAGGGTGTATCAAATCTGCTCTGTCTAAAGAAGGTTCAACTCTGTGAGTTGAATACACACACCACAAATAAGTTACTGAGAATTCTTCTGTCGAACATTACTTGAAGAAATCCCGTTTCCAACGAAGGCCTCAAAGAGGTCCAAATATCTGCTTGCAGACTTTACAGACAGAGTGTTTCCAAACTACTCTATGAAAAGAAAGCTTAAACTCCTTGAGTTGAACGCACACATCACAAAGTAGTTTCTGAGAATGATTTCTGTCTTGTATTTATACGAAGATATTTCCGTTTCTACGATTGGCCTCAAAGCGATTGAAATCTCCAACTGGAAACTGCACAAATAGGGTGTTTCAAATCTGCTCTGTCTAAAGGAAGGTTCAACTCTGTGAGTTGAATACACACACCACATATAACTTACTGAGAATTCTTCTGTCGAACATTACATGAAGAAATCCCGTTTCCAACGAAGGCCTCAAAGAGGTACAAATATCCAGTTGCCGACAATACAAACACAGTGTTTGCAAACTGCTCCGTCAAAAGAAAGCTTAAACTCTGTGAGATGAACACACACATCAAAAAGAAGTTTCTATGAATCATTCTGTCTAGTTTTTATACGAAGATGTTTCCTTTTCTACCTTTGGTCTCAAAGCGATTGAAATCTCCACATGGAAACTCCACAAAAAGAGTGTTTCAAATCTGCTCTTTCTGAAGGAAGGTTCACCTCTGTGAGTTGAATAAACACACCACAAATAAGTTACTGAGAATTCTTCTGTGTAACATTATATGAGGAAATCCCGTTTCCAACGAAGGCCTCAAAGAGGTCCAAATATCCACTTGCAGACTTTACAAAGACAGTGTCTCCAAACTCCTCCATCAAAAGAAAGGTTATACTCTGTGAATTGAACGCACACATCACAAAGTAGTTTCTGAGAATGATTCTGTCTAGTTTTTATACGAAGATATTTCCTTTTCTACATTTGGCCTAAAAGCGCTTGAAATCTCCACCTGCAAATATCACAAAAACAGGGTTTCACATCTGCTCTGTCTAAAGGACAGTTCACCTCTGTGAGTTGAATAGAGGCAACACAAAGAACTTACTCAGTATTCTTCTTTCTAGCGTTCTATGAAGAAATCCCTTTTCCAACGAAGACCCCAATGAGGTCCAAATATCTGCTTGCAGACTTTACAGACAGAGTGTTTCCAAAGTACTCTATGAAAAGAAAGCTTAAACTCCTTGAGTTGAACGCACACATCACAAAGTAGTTTCTGAGAATGATTCTGTCTACTTTTTATACGAAGATGTTTCCTTTTCTACATTTGGTCTCAAAGCGATTGAAATCTCCAACTGGATACTGCACAAATAGGGTGTTTCAAATCTGCTCTGTCTAAAGGAAGGTTCAACTCTGTGAGTTGAATACACACACCACAAATAAGTTACTGAGAATTCTTCTGTCGAACATTACATGAAGAAATCCCGTTTCCAACGAAGGCCTCAAAGAGGTCCAAATATCCACTTGCAGACATTACAAACAGAGTGTTTCCAAACTGCTCCATCAAAAGAAAGGTTAAACTCTGTGAGCTGAACACACACATCAAAAAGAAGTTTCTGTGAATGATTCTGTCTAGATTTTATAAGAAGATGTTTCCTTTTCTACCGTAGGCCTCAAAGCGCTTGAAATCTCCAGCTGCAAATTCCACAAAAAGGGTGTTTAACATCTACTCTTCTAAAGGAAAGTCCAACTCTATGAGTTGAATACACACAGCAAAAAGAAGTTACTGAGACTTCTCCTATCAAACATTATATGAAGAAATCCCGTTTCCAACGAAGGCCTCAAAGAGGTCCAAATATCTGCTTGCAGACTTTACAGACAGAGTTTTTCCAAACTGCTCCATCAAAAGAAAGGTTAAACTCCTTGAGTTGAACACACACATCACAAAGTAGTTTCTGTGAATGATTCTGTCTAGTTTTTATACGAAGATGTTTCCTTTTCTACCTTTGGTCTCAAAGCGATTGAAATCTCCACATGGAAACTCCACAAAAAGAGTGTTTCAAATCTGCTCTTTCTGAAGGAAGGTTCAACTCTGTGAGTTGAATACACACACCACAAATAAGTTACTGAGAATTCTCCTATCAAACATTATATGAAGAAATCCCGTTTCCAACGAAGGCCTCAAAGAGGTCCAAATATCTGCTTGCAGACTTTACAAAGACAGTGTCTCCAAACTCCTCCATCAAAAGAAAGGTTATACTCTGTGAATTGAACGCACACATCACAAAGTAGTTTCTGAGAATGATTCTGTCTAGTTTTTATACGAAGATATTTCCTTTTCTACATTTGGCCTCAAAGCGCTTGAAATCTCCACCTGCAAATATCACAAAAAGAGGGTTTCACATCTGCTCTGTCTAAAGGACAGTTCACCTCTGTGAGTTGAATAGAGGCAACACAAAGAACTTACTCAGTATTCTTCTTTCTAGCGTTCTATGAAGAAATCCCGTTTCCAACGAAAGCCTCAAAGAGGTCCAAACATCTGCTTGCAGACTTTACAGACAGAGTGTTTCCAAACTACTCTATGAAAAAGAAAGCTTAAACTCCTTGAGTTGAACGCACACATCACAAAGTAGTTTCTGAGAATGATTCTGTCTAGTTTTTATACGAAGATGTTTCCTTTTCTACATTTGGTCTCAAAGCGATTGAAATCTCCAACTGGAAACTGCACAAATAGGGTGTTTCAAATCTGCTCTGTCTAAAGTAAGGTTCAACTCTGTGAGTTGAATACACACACCACAAATAAGTTACTGAGAATTCTTCTGTCGAACATTACTTGAAGAAATCCCGTTTCCAACGAAGACCTCAAAGAGGTCCAAATATCCACTTGCAGATATTACAAGCTGAGTGTTTCCAAACTGCTCCATCAAAAGAAAGGTTAAACTCGGTGAGCTGAACACACACATCAAAAAGAAGTTTCCTGTGAATGATTCTGTCTAGATTTTATAAGAAGATGTTTCCTTTTCTACCGTAGGCCTCAAAGCGCTTGAAATCTCCAGCTGCAAATTCCACAAAAAGGGTGTTTAACATCTGCTCTTCTAAAGGAAAGTTCAACTCTATGAGTTGAATACACACAGCACAAAGAAGTTACTGAGACTTCTCCTATCAAACATTATATGAAGAAATCCCGTTTCCAACGAAGGCCTCAAAGAGGTCCAAATATCTGCTTGCAGACTTTACAGACAGAGTTTTTCCAAACTGCTCCATCAAAAGAAAGGTTAAACTCCTTGAGTTGAACACACACATCACAAAGTAGTTTCTGTGAATGAT